>NC_000010.11:88173398-88476428 GCF_000001405.40 Homo sapiens
TTTTAAAGTCAGGTAACGTGATGCCTCCAGCTTTGTTCTTTTTGCTCAGTATTGCTTTGGCTATTCATGGTTAATTGTTTCATACACATTTTAGGAGTTTCTTTTTTCTGTTTCTGTGAAGAATGCCATTGGTATTTTGATAAGGATTGCATTGAATTTGTAGATTTCTTTGGATAGCATGCTCATTTTAAGAATATTAATTCTTACAATCCAGGAATGTGAGATATTTTTCTGTTTGCTTGTGCCCTCTACAAGTTCAGTGGTTGTTTTTTTAGACTCCTTTTATGCAACAAAGTTCCATCAAAGCCAATTTTAAAAGGCTAGTGAAAACTAATTATTCTTGCTGCACTTTATACAAATAATCAGGCCAAGTATATAAACCAAATTGGTCTTTTTTTAAAAAAAAATTATGTCCATAGGTTTTGGGGGAACAGGTGGTATTTGGTTACATGAATAAGTTCCTTAGTGGTGATTTGTGAGATTTTGGTACACCCATCACTTAAGCAGTACACACTGAACCCAGTTTGAATTTCAGTGTTATGTAGTTTTCATTGTAGAGATCTTTAACCTGTTCAGAGAAATTTATTCCTTGGTATTTTTTTTTTTTGGAGTTATTGTAAATGGGATTACTTTCTTAATTTCTTTTTCAGCTAGTTCATTATTGGTATTAGAAGCATTACCAATTTTTGTAAGTTGATTTTGTATCTTGCAACTTTACTGAATTTGTTAGTTTTAAAAGGTTTTTTGGTGGAGTCTTTAGAATTTTTTTAATATGTAAGATTATGTCATCTGCAAAGAGAGACAATTTGACTTCTTCTTTTCCAATTTGAATGCTCTTCATTTTTTTTTTCTTTTGCATGATTGATCTGGCTAGAACTTCCAGTACTGTGTTGGATAAGAGCAGTGAAAGTTCTTGTTCCAGATCTTAGATGTCTTGTTCCAGATCTTAGATGAAAGCTTTCAATGTTTCCCCATACAGTATAATGTTAGCTGTGGGTTTGTCATATATGGTCTTTATTGTGTGAGGTATATTCCTTCTATACCAATTTGTTGAGAGTTTTTATCATGAAGGGATGTTGAATTTTATCACAGGCTTTTTCGGCATCTATTGAGATGATCATATGTTTTTTGTTCTTCATTTTTAGATGTGATGTATCACGTTTATTCATTTGCAGATGTTGGACCATCCTTGCATTCCTGAGTTAAATCTCACCCGATTATGGTGTATTAGCTTTTTGATATACTGCTGGATTTGGTTTGCTAGTATTTTGTTGACGATTTTTTGCAGCTACGTTCATCAGGCATAATGGTCTGTTTTGTGTATTTGTTGTTGTATCCTTTTCTGATTTTGGCATAAAGGTAATGCTGCCTTGTAAAATTAATTAGAAAGAATTCCCTCCTCTTAAATTTTTTGGAATAGTTTGCAAAGAATTGATGTTAGTTCTTCTTTAAAAGTTTGCTAGAATTCAAAAGTGAGGCCATTCTGTTGTGGACTTCTCTTTGTTGGGATACTTCTTATTAATGATTCAATCTTGTTACTTGTTATTGGACTGTTCAGGTATTCTATTTCTTCCTAGTTCAATTTTGTTAGCTTATATGTGACCAGATGTTTATTCATTTTCTCCAGGTTTTCAAATTTGTTGGCATATAGTTATTCAAGTAGCCTTTAATTATCCTTTGTATTTCTGTGGTATCAGTTGTAATGTCTCCTTTTTCATTTCTGATTTTATTTATTTGGATCTTCTCTCATAATTTTCTAGTCTAGCTAGTGGTTTGTGGATTTTGTTTATTTTTTCAAAAAAAATGAATTTTTTGTTCATCTTTTGTATTTTGGGGGCTGTATTTCATTTAGTTCTGGTCTGATTTTATAGTTTCCTTCTTTTTCCCAATTTGGGGTTTGGTTTGTTCTTGCTTTTCGAGATCCTTAGGTGCACTGTTAGGTTGTTTATTTGAAATCTCTACTTTTTTGATGTAGGCATTTACTGCTATAAAATTCCCTCTTAGTACTGATTTTGCTATAACCTCAGGTTTTGGTGTGTTATGTTTCTATTCTCATTGTTTCAAGAATTTTAAAATTTCCTTCTTCATTTCTTCATTGACTCATTGGTTATTCAGGAAGATATTTGTTAATTTCCATGTATTTGTACTTTTTCCAAAGTTCCTCTTGTTACTGATTTCTAGTTTTAGTCCATTGTGGTCTGAGAAGATACTTGATATAATTTTAATTTTAAAAAGCTTATTGAGACTTGTTTTGTGGCCCATCATATGATCTATCCTGGAGAACATTCCATATGCTGCTGAAAAGAATGTGTATTCTGTAGCTGTTAGATAAAATGTTCTGTAAAGGTCTGTTTGGTCCATTTGGTCTACAATTAAGTTTATGTTTAATTTTTTTTAAATTTTCTGTCCAGATGTGTTCAATGCTGAAAGTGGGGTGTTGAAGTCCCTCCCTGCTATTGTATTGGAGTCTATTTCTACCTTTAGATCTAATAATTTTTTCTTCATATATGAGTGTGCTCTGGTGTTGTGTGCACACATATTTAGAATTGCTATATATTTTTGCTGGATTGATCCCTTTATCATTGACCTTCTTTGTCTCTTTTTATGTTTTTGATATAATAGCAATTACTGCTTGCTTTTGGTTTCTGTTTGTGTGGAATATCGTATTCCATCCCTTCACTTTCAGGCTCTGTCTTTACAGGTGAAGTGAGTTTCTTGTAGGCATCATATAGTTAGGGATTTAAACAAAATTCATTTAGGCAGCCTTAGCCTATCTTTTTTTTTTTTTCTTTTTTGAGACGGAGTCTTGCTCTGTCGCCAGGTTGGAGTGCAGTGGCACAATCTCGGCTCACTGCAACCTCTGCCTCCCAGGTTCAAGAGATTCCCCTGCCTCAGCCTCCCAAGTAGCTGGGACTACAGGCATGTGCCACCACACCTGGCTAATTTTTTTGTATTTTAGTAGAGATGGGGTTTCACCATTTTGGCCAGCATGGTCTTGATCTTCTGACCTCATGATCCACCTGCCTTAGCCTCCCAAAGTGCTGGGATTACAGATGTGAGCCACTGCACCCAGCCAGCCTATCTTATAGTTAGCGAATTTAATTCATTTACATTCAAGGTTCTTATTGATAGGTAAGAATGTACATCATTTTGTTAATTATTTTTTGGCTGTTTTGCATATCTTTTGTTCCTTTATTACTCTCCTATTGTTTATCTTTGTGGTTTGGTGATTTACTGTGGTAATAATATTTGACTCTTTCCTTTTTCTAATTTCTGTATCTGCTCTACCAGTGAATTTTGTACTTTTGTGTGTTTTTTTTCTGTTTCTGTAATGGTAGATATTGTTCTTTTGCTTCCAGAAGTATAATTTTTGTAGGGACAGTCTTTTAATTTATGAATTCCCTCAGAGTTTGCTTGTCTGAGAAAGACTTTATTTCTCCTTCATTTCTGAGAGATAGCTTTGCTAGGAATAGTAGTCTTGTTTTACAGTGTTCTTTCAGCACTTGGAATATATCATTTCATTCTTTCCTGGCCTCTAAGAAATCTGCTGTTAGTCTGATGGTAATTCCCTTATGTGTGACTTGATGCTTTTCTGTTTTTGTTTTCAGAATTCTCTCTTCATCTTCATCTTTTGACACCTTAGCTATAATATGTCTCAGAGAGGTCCTTTGTGGGTTGAACCTATTTGGGGATATTTAAGCACCCTGTATCTGGATGTCTATATCTCTCACAAGACTTGGAAAGTTTTCAGCTATTATTTTATTAGTTATTTTTCTATGACTTTGCCTATCCTTTCTTCTGAAACTTCCATTATGCAAATATTTATTTGTGTAATGGTGTCCGTATGTCCCATATGGTTTCCTTATTCTTTCGTATTGTCTGCTTCTTTGTTTTTGTCTGACTGGGTTATTTTAAAAACCATCCTTCAAGTTCAGATATTCTTTCTTCTGTTTGAGCTCTTCTACTGTTGAAATGCTTAATTGTATTTTTTATTTCATTAATTAAATTCTTAAGTTCCAAGATTTCTATCTGGTTCTTTCTAATAATATCTATCTCTGTTGAATTTCTTATTCAGACCATGAATTGTTTTCCTGATTGGGTTGAACTGTCTATTTGTTTTCCTATATCTCACTGAATTTCCTTAAGATCATTGTGTTTCATTCATTTTCAGGCATTTCATAGATTTCCTTATCTTTGAGGTCTGTTACTGGAAAATTATTTTTTTCCTTTGTAAGTGTTATATTTCCTTGCTTCTTCATATTTCTTGTGTCCTTATGTTGATATTTGTGCATCTGGCAGAACAGTCACTTCTTCCAATTCTATAGAGTTGCTTTCGCAGGGAAAGACTTTTTCCTGTAGTGTTCTATAGTGTAGGTTGGGTAGGTTGCTCTGGCTTTGATGCTATGTGAGTGCAGTAGTCTCCATATGATTTATTTGACTGCAACTGCCTCAGTGGCCTAGGCTTTGGTTGTTTGTGGTGGCTGTGGCATGGTTTTGTTGAGGATGTGAACATTGGGTAGGCTGGTCCTTGTGCCTTTAGGTAGCACATGTGGGCATGCAGCATCCCTGCTGGAGGTGGCAGGGTCATTGGTGGGGAGCAGCAGCAAGCCATGGGTGGGCCATTTCTCTGGTCCCCAGGCAGGTGGTTCTCAGGTTCTGGAAGGGCACACATTGGCTCCCTGGGTTCTGTGGGCAGCCTTTCTGCTGCGCGGGACTTCCTGTTCCCCAGGGTGTAGGGTGCTACATGAACTTGGGTGCTGGGTTCTCAGCTGTACCTCTGGGTCCAGCTGGTGTCACAATGCTGCAGACCTTTGGATGAATGTGGTAAGATGTCAGTGAGTCCCAGGGATGTGGAAATGTTAATGTTATTGGGCCCTCTGTCAGGTTGTACTCTGGTGGTTTCTTTGCTCTCAAAATGCTATTTTGCTGCAGCAGCCTGGTTCCTGGGGAGTGAGGGCGACCAAGTGTGAATCTTCTTTCTGGAATAATGCAGCCACATTGGCTCCAGGTAGCTCCCCAGTATACTGGACTCAGGGCCTGTGAAGTCTGTGAGGACTCTCCTGTAGTTATGATTGTAGGTATCTGTGGTGAGAATGTGGATTTCTGGAGATCTTCTGCTTATCTTTTCCCTGCAGTGGGGAATCCCTCTTGACTCTGAATTCATCCTGGCTGCCTGCTTTGCTTCCCTCTCTATGCTGCCATCATGAATTTCCATGCCTTAGAGGGTCTTTGTCACTTTCTTGCTGGATTCCAGTGTTTTTCCTTAGATATTCCATACAAGAGTTATCTATTTATTGTTTTGGGTCTTTTCTATGGAGGAGGCAAGTGCTGGGAGCTTCTAGTCAGCCATCTTGATGATCCAGACTACTGTTCTGCCTCACTTTGTCAATTTAGAACTTCCACTGGAGATCTTATCAGGGGAGAAACACATACTATCTGGGGCTCCCATTAGGATTGTTGAGGGAGCTCTGAGTTGAATCTTTGATTCCATTTTAGACAAAGCCACTACTCTTCAAGGTAGTGGCTATTCACTCACTGAGCAAATATTTATAGAGATCAACTGTGAGTCAAGTGCTATTGTAGATGCTGAGGATATATTAACAATGTCAAACAGACACACTTCAGCCTGGGCAACAGAGTGAGATGTCATCTCTAAAAAAAGAAAAGAAAAGGACATACATCTCTGCTCTCCTGGAACTTATGTAACAGTAAACACAATAAATAAATTATGTGGAATGTTAAAAGTGCAGTAGAAGAAAAGAAATCAGGTAGGGGGAATGGGAGTACCAGATTGAGGGTGGTGGTGTAATTTTAAATTGGGTGACCAAGATGGGCTTCACTGAGAAGTTATTACTGCAAAGTCCTGAAGGAAGTGAGATAATGGACCATATGGATATTTCAGTGAGGAAGCATGTGGTTCAGAGAAAAGCCAGCTCAAAAGTCTTGAAGCAGGAGGGTAGCAGGCTAGTTAGTAGAATGTTAGCTTCTTGCACTCTTGGTAAATGGTCATGATTCTTTTAAAGAATCTCTCTCTCTCTCTCATCATGGATAATACTGTAAATAGTATTACTGTCTCCTTTACATGGTTCTCTTGCAACTACTATTACTAGCATATATCAGGCAGTGCTCCAAGTACTCTATATGTTTAATTCATTCAAACCTCAGAATAGTCTTTGAATTTAGGTAATATTATCTTTGTTTTACAAACTGGGAAATATAGAGATTAAATAATTGGTTTACAGTCACATAGAGATTAAAGGTCAGAGACAGGATTTGAACCCAATGATTTTGGTACCCCAGGACTTTGGCAGGAGAGCCCATACTTTTTAACCACAATGCTCTAAGGTGCCCCACCAGTCTGCTACTGATAGGACATGGTCTTCAGTCTATTCTTAGGTAGAAATCAAAGTATTTGCTATGTCTTTTAATTATTAAATCCACATTTGGAGACGGACTCTAAGTATAATCCCCAGGGTGGAGGTGAATCTTCCATAAACAGAAATGGTTGCTTAAGAAAAAACCCTATGTTTTCTTTAGAACAGAACATCCAAGTTACATGGGAATGCACCATATGATTGTTGTGAATTGAAGTCAATTTGGCACCAACAGAAATAACCTTAGGAACAAAGTTGTATACAGTATGTTCTTACGGAAACCACACTTAGAATGCAGAGTAAACTGTTAAGGATAGATCTTTCTTTCTGGAGTTGCACTAGCTGTCTTTGGGTGGGGACAGCAAATTGTTTCGTTTATAAGATTTGTACATCAAAGCTAGATCTGCTTATACTTTAAAACCAAAAGGAGGAGAAAGACTTATTTTTAGCTATCTGAAATTTAAACCAAACCCAACACTGACATATGGATGTTTCAGACTGCACCATGTCAGAAAATTTCTCAGAGATGACATTAAACAACAATATATTATTGCAGCTGTAGAGAGTCAGTGAGATCCTTCTCTTATAATTTTGTTTAATAGCTATTGGGACACTGGGATAAAGATTCGATTTTTCAGAACTAGAGCTGGGTGGCTGAGAACTAGAATTGGGTTCAGTCCCATGAGAGTGAGAATTTCACTATATCTTACAGAAACAGTTTTTGGTGCTTTAGGTTGGTCAATTGGCTGGCCAAAGGATTAGCTACTGCACTCTACTTATAAAAGAAAACTTTAATTTAAAAAATGTACGTGTGCGTGTGTTGTAGATAATATACTTATTCATTTTAGATAAGTTCAAAAATATATGTTAATCTAAAAGTATTCACCTGTAATCCCCAACCTCAGAAATAACCAATGAATATTTTGGGGTATACCTTTTTACCTAGATAGATATACAAGTATTGAACAGATGTAGAGCTAGGTAGAGATATACAGACCTGTCATACATATATCAAACAGATTTTTTTCACTCTACAAAAAAATGGGATGAAACCATCCATACTATTGAGTAACCTGTTTTTTAATTTTAATGTTTTTCAATGTGGTATTTTACTTAGCATTTTCTTATGCCAGTAATTTTTTAACACAATCACTTTTACTTATATTCCATTTAAGTTCATGCATATTCCATGCTTTATTTTACTGCTACCCTATTGTGATAGGTCCCCAAAGATCAACATGCCCTAATCCCTGGAATCTGTGAATATGTTAAATTACATGACAACTTCTTTTGTGCAGATAGAATTAAGGTTACTCATCTTTAGGCAGGGAGAATTTCTTGGGTTATCAGATGGGCCCAGTGTAATCACATGGCATTTCATAATGAAAGATGGAGGCAGAAGCACAGATCAGGGAGCTGTGATGTGAGAAGGACTGGCCCCATCATAAGCCAGGAAATTTGGAGGTCTCTAGAAGCTAGGAGCAGTTATCATCTGAGAATCAGTAAGAAAACAAAGATGTCAGTCCTACTACCAAGAGGAAACAGGGGCCTATTCTTCCCTACAACCTCCGCTATGGAATGCAGCTCCCCTGACACCTTGATTTTAGCTTGGTGAAGACTTGAAGCAGAGAACCCAGAAAAGCCCAATGGACTTCTGACTTACAGAACTTTAATATAATACATTTGTGCTGTTTTCGGCAACTAAGCCTGTGGTAATGTGTTATATGGCAATAGAAAACTGACACACCTTTTGTTGTATACCTGGGTCATTTTCAATTTCTCACTAATGAAATAAGACTGCCATGAACATCGTTGTAGCTAAACCTTGATGCACATCTTTGACTATTTATATAGGATCAGTTTATTTAAGGGTAAGTATGCATCAGTGGTCTATGAAATTTTCAGACTTTTCATGTGCAGTGCATTGCCGAATTTAAGGAACATCATTTCCTGATTGGGAGTTAGGCAAATGGATAAAGAAAGGCCATCATTCTTTTCTTTCAGCTATTGGTTCTAGCTATTTGGTTTCTATAGTGTTTACAGTATAACTCTTCTTTTCAGCTGGCCACAGAAGCCTTTGTGTTTTCTGTGTAGATGGAAATAATTGCTACATTTGTGGAATAATGGCCAACTCAAGAGCTGCTTGAAGAGATCTTTATGGTGAAGCTGCTCCCTAAAGTTTGAAATATTAGTCAAAGTGCATCAGACCAAGCTTTAGAACTGAAATGGAATTTGCTTTGCTCTTCAAACACCACTTATGCTGGCATTAGGGAAGGGTGTGGGGTAGGTCAAATATCCATTACTGGGCAAACAACTTGAAGTATGTTTATTTTATGGGGCTCTCTCCATATACATTAGAGTTGGTGAGAGGCTAACTGCCTCTTTTATGAGCCTCAAGGGTAGCTTTGCTCAAATACATCAACCACATCAGAACTCAAAAGTGTTGATTGGGAGGCAGCTAATGTAGATGAAGGATTTAGAAAAAAATATCACCCCAGGTGACCGGATGTACCTAACCATGTTCCCAGCTCAAAGCCAGCTCTCATCTTTCATGTTTAGAATGGCATAAAGTTTAAAACAATATTAGGTTTCAGATAACATATTTAACATTTTGGCTGTTTATTCTTTCTGAAGCCACACACTGATCATACTTTTTGCTTCAAAATGCGTGGGGGTCAGACTTTAGGATAACTCAGCTATATTCATATCTGAAATAATGAATAATGAGTAATACAGAAAGTAGCCACATTAATATATCATTCACTTTACAAAAATACCCATTCCAGCATTCTTTTAAAATATTCAAAGTCTCCAGGAAATTTAACGTTACACTTAATTTACAAAAATCAGAATTATACATAAGTAGTATACAGTGAAACTTTCTCTCTCTCTCTCCATGTATTTGTGTATGTGTGTGTGTGTGTGTGAGAGAGTGATTTTAAGTTCTTGTGATGTAGAACAGCTATTGCTTTTGGCAAACCAGAAACTTGTTCTTGACAAGTAATTTCATCAACAGTGAAGCTTTTTTTTGTTTGTTTTAAATTGGGACTCTAGTCAGTGACCTTAGAAACAATACCATTAGCAAGTTCAGTTGTGGAAAGGCAACCTAGTATAGTAAAAAGAACACAGATTGGGAGTTAGACAGACTGGCTTTGACTCCTACATGCCCGGCACTTACCAGTTGTGTTTTTTTGGGGAAATTTTCTGTAAACTCATTAAACTTCAGCTTACTCATCTGTAAAATGGGAACAATAATATTCATCTTGCAAAGTATGCATGCTGTCTAGCATATTAGCATGCTTCTTGACACAGATTTGGGGTTCAGTGAAGAAGGTACTTTCAGTTGTCTTGTCATTCCAGAGTAACATTATTCAGATGCAGGGGACCAAATCCATATTTTCCTTTGGATGCAAGCTATGATGGCTTGAATGCCTTGGATGTGGAAGAGAGAAAGACATATAAACAAATGAATTAATGAATAAAGCAAATAAGAGGCTGTTCTTCACTTTACATTCATGTCAGCTAATATGTGAAATTGCTCTAATAGAATTAATTTATTGGGTAGATGAAGCCTTCTTTTTCACTTTCACACAACTTCATAGACATTGAGAAAACTAATGTGTATATTAACAGTTTCCATTAAATATATAACTTTTCTATAAAAATGTAACTTCAATGCATTTAGCAAACTTCTCTGTGAAAGAACATTTTTAGTTGACATATTTGAAATTAAAGTGTCGTTTGAACTGAAATGGCACTTCCCTGTTCAAAAATCTTCAATGATTTCTCATGTTTTACAGAAAAAAATCCATACTACTTTGTTGCTGATCTTATATCAGTACTTCCTCCTATCATATTTTTCATTACTCCATTAAAGTAGTTTTTATTCATCTCAGATTGATCTGTATAATATCAAAATGCATTAGTGCTATAGGGAACATCTTGTGTTTTGCCTTTTCAGTAATATCTAATGATAACTAGTTGTTTATCCCCATTCCCTGATCCATGTAATGCCAGCTTGACCAATCAGGATGTTTCATCTTCCTTACTGTAGTGATTGGTTCAGGAACGAGTAGATAATTCAAGATGGTTGGAATCAATGGCGATACTGAGACTTTTGCGGATCAACTAGAGAGAAGTCATAGTTTTCACTGCTCTATGGGACAGCTGAGAATGGTGCACCATTTTGCTGCAACTGTTTGAGTGCCTTCCAGAATGTAAAGTTAACACAGAGGAAAAAAGAGCTGAGAGAAGATTAGAGGTAGTGTTCTGGTAGTGGTGTTTCAGTCCTTAAAGATGAACTCCTGGACTTTGTAGTGACATGAGCCAATAAATTCTCTATCTGGATTCAATTTGAAATAGGTGTTCTTCATCAGCACAGACACTTTCTGTGTGAGCCTATATTTCTCATTTCCTAAATATTCTGCCTTTTCTTCTCTACTCACTCAAGAGCTACCTGTCCTTGAAGGCCTCATTCAAGTTCCAGCTTATTGATGATACCTTATTCAACTACCCAGGCCTTGATCACTCACTCCCTGTAATACCCATAGACAATTAGTTCATTTGCGTTAAACAGTCATGTAGCTTTTTGAGTAGCTTTCTGATCTTTCCAGTATCTTTCAAGTTCTTCAATGGGTGTTTATTTGGGGGAGACATTGAAATTGAATAATCAGTATAGGTTTCTTTTTAAACTTGGTTTCAGTAATCATGCTGGGAGACAGAGATAGGTCCTTTTCTGTTCTTTTTTCTCCCCCCAGCCAAATGACTGAGAAAAAGAACTGAATTTAGCCCTCAAGTTTGCCTACACATTCATAACAACTATTAGGTCTGGGACCTTAGTCCACTGAGTTAAGATGACCCATCTTTTGCATAAATAAATAGGTCACCTGAGCAACAGTCCAAGAAGATTGCTCAGACATTGCATATAGTTGACAGTAAACTAAAATTATTGTTTATGAATGTCATACCAAGCTGATCTGGTGATATTCAAGTTTATTGCTAAAGCTCAACACTATGGAATGCTTTGCTGCAACCATAAATCTTCCTATGAAGTACCTTTTTGTGTCCTGAGGTACTCCAGATCTTAAGTGGTCAGGTAGCTTGTTGGCCACCAAGGTATCAATGCTCAGAGGCCGTGGAGAACAAAAGCATCAGAATGTTTTCAGCAACACCATTTTCTTTGTGCATTGGTCCCTTGCCTTTGTTCAGTCTTAAGGCAATTGAGATAAAGGAAGAACTGGATTTTTAAAATATCCTGTTGCCCTGCCTTTCCTAAAGCATCCACTGATCAGAAATATAGTCACTGAGGCCGAGGTTACATAGTAGACAAGAAAGGCAGATTGTTAATAATCTACTAGATTCAGACTAGGTGTGCCATGAAACACAAATATGGGGACGAGAGTGGATCTGGAAGTACTGGATTTTCCTTTTACCATCTATACAACACAGATTCATTAATTCATCCTTTGTCTTATTTTCACATTTCAGTCCTTACCACCTCTACCTCATTGGCCATTAAGATCTGCTCATTTTACCTTTGAAATGCCTTTCAGTCTATCCTTTTCTCTTCATTCTCACTGCTACTGGACTAGCTTTGGTCTCATTAAAAATGTCCCTTTAATGGTCTTTTTTCCATTTATATTGTTTTTTTAAATTCAATCTTTATACTAACAAGTTCATTTTGTTAAAACACAATGGAGATAACATACTATCTCTGCCTCAAAACTCTTCAAGGAGCTTCGTCTTCTACTTAGTACATTCCAATCTCCTCATCATAGTCTCTGGTGTCTTCCATGATGTGGTTCCAATTCATCTTTCATGTCTATTTTGGTCCATTTTATCACATAAGGACCCAGTATAGATTGGGCATTATTTTCTTTATTAAACAGACACATTCTTTGACTAAGCTCTGTCAATTAACCAAATCCTAGATACTTCAAGACCTGTTCTATGAGGAGGAGTCAGAGAAAAAAAAATGACAGGCTTAAGCTAACAAGGAAAAATAAAATACAGTATTAAATCTACTTCAATGGGCTATAAAAACCAGTAAAATTTTAATTAATGTCCTTTAAAATAAAACTGCATCAAATGCATTAAAAAACATTGGCCAAAGCACCTCCTAGTCTTGATTTTACTAAGCAATTTTAATGGAGAAGCCTTTTCTCACCAAGGGTCTGTTAATATTTCCAGGAAGCAGGTCCCCAAACTCTTCTTTCCTGGAAAATATTGCTTAACTGTACATTTCTAATGAAGCAAGTTCGGAGATTATGAGTGGAGACCAGAGGAGATAAGGAAAGTAAATAAATAAAATTAAATCTGCTGTTAAAATAAGAATATTTTCTAGCTTAATCAGCAAACACAAGGCAGAGAGTTTAAGCAGTCTTGAAACAAACCCAATGCTTTTTAATAAATGAGCAGAATAGGAAGTTAAATAAGGGATTCTGGCGCTGGGGTTCAGGGTCATGGAAGAAGCTACGTTAGAAGACCACTCTGGTTTCATGTATCTTAGCAGAATCGTCAGAGTAAAATCTGAATACCCCGATTATTTTTAAGCCCTCAGGATGGAGTTAACATCTCCCATAAATGACATATATCATATAGACGAACAGCCAAGTACTCATGCCTCACCATTCAATTCATGTAACACTTTCCCTCTCCTCAAAGAATGTGTGTTTTACACATGTCATCTCTGTTCATCTCTCGCCTCTCTGTGGAAACCCAGCAGAAGAATGTTGAGTGACTCAATCAAGGTTATGGCATGAAAGTGCTTGGGAGCTGGAAGGGAACCCAAGACACCCATTCAGTGCCATACACATGAGTTCACACTGCTGGGTAAAGCACATTGCAATTGAATGCATATTTAAGTGATATATCAGTGCTAAATGGTAACACATGTAATGCTTCCCACTTAGGATATATTCTTGGCTAACTCTGTTGGAAAATATTATATGGAGATTTCTTTACGGTAAAAAAAAAAATTTTGAGCAAAATTTAAACAAAAAAGGACAAGATCAGAAGCCCGAAATATTCCCACACCCACTTTTTGGGGAATGGTAGGGGCTCCAGCAACCTTAATTTATGGAGGCTATTAAGAGCTAAGGCAGAATTTGTACAGTTCAGGTATACTTTCTAGAGAGAATCATCAAATTAACGTAAGCAAAACCATGACCTGAAATAGAAAGTAATAGTACAAAGCAAACTCTTCATGGAAAAGAACAAAACCCTGTTACAACACTGAGCACTCAAATCTCACAACTGCCTAATCCGGGTGTTTCTGGGACTAGGAAATGTGTAGGCACCGCAGGAGTTGACAGAAAGCCCAATCTTTTGTAGGTTGAGAAACGCTGGCATCTGCTAAGAAGGCTGCTCAAAAAATATATATATATAATATATATAATATATATATAATATATATAATATATATAATATATATATAATATATATATATAGGACTTGTGCATCCCATGAAGGTAAAGAAGCTCCTGAGTATTTTGTTGTATAAACAAACAAATCAGTTTCTACATTTGTGTTGGCATTGATCGGAGTGTGACAAATTAAAAGGGGGCTGGAGAAATCTTCCTTAGAACAATCGAGAATTAACCTCCAACTTCTCCTAGCCTATATTTAGATGGAGACAGATTAGGGTCATATGGTGGGACAGACATTTGCCCCTCATAGAATATCCATATGCTCCCCACATCTCTCAGCCCCTTGGCAGGAAGGTAGCCAATGAGCTGCAGCATTTGAAAACTGATGTGCTACCTTTAGCTTTCTCTTCTGTTGTCATGGTGGCCTTGAAAGTACGTGCACCAAGATTCACAGCAATAAGATTTAAGCAGATTGAGTCCCTCAGCTGTCCTGGAGGACAAGTGGTCTGGTGGGATTGAGAAATAAGCCTTTCTGGGTTAAACCACTGAGATTTAGGGAAGTATTAGCTACCACAGCACAACCTAGCTTATTCAGACTAATACACATAGGACTGAGATAACTTTTCTTGTCTTGAGGGAACTTGAATAATTATGAATAATCTCTCTTTTTCCCGATTTACCTTATTTCTTACTTTCTGACTCTTTGACACATGGTTATGACTGTAAAATTCCAGTCAATGCTTTCACATGGGCAATAGTAGACGTTTAGTATTAATAATAAATATTTAGTATTCATGGACATTTAGCATTAAATCTGCATAAAACAAACATGCATTCCTGCAATATTGGTCCTGAAATGTTGGTGTGCATTTATTTGACACATGCCATGTCCTTTACTTGAAAATAAAAGTCCTCAGTTTCTTTTTCTTTTTTTTTGAGATGGAGTCTCGCTCTGTCACCAGGCTGGACTGCAGTGGTGCAATCTCAGCTCGCTGCAACCTCTGCCTCCTGGGTTGAAGCGATTATCCTGCCTCAGCCTCCTGCATAGCTAGGACTACAAGTGTGGGCCACCACACCCAGCTAATTTTTGTATTTTTAGTGGAGATGGGGTTTCACCATGTTTGCCAGGCTAGCCTCAAACTCCTGACCTCAAGTGATCCTCCTGCCTTGGCTTCCCAAAGTGCTAGGATTACAGGCATGAGCCACCACACCTGACCTCAGTTGTTTCTTTATCTTAAAGCCGGCAGCATTAGAGACTTTTTACTAAACTGTTAATGTGACATTTCTGATGTCAGATGTATTCTGTTTCAATAGCTGTTCTTTAAAATCAGGCTTTACAAGCAGACTATTATACTACAGGTGATTGTCCAACAGAAATTTTGGGTACGATGCTTTTCCTTTTGGACCAAATTCTAAAAGCAGTTGAGCTGCAAGGGTGCATTGTATAAATGGTCTAGACAATGCAACCAGTGGCTGAAGACCCACATAATTACTGTATAAACACTAATTTGTATGCTCTTTTGGGTTTATTTCAAAATTAATTACTTAGCTTTTTTAAAAAGCTAGCTCCAATTTCTAGGAGATGCACCATAGACACAAGACTACAGTCACCAGCTACAGTTACCAGCTGAACAACATAAATAAAAAGAACAGGAGAATATTTTAGAATTCATTGTTCATTTGACCTTTATTTTGTTAGTTAAAATGATCATGTTTTTGAGTCTCTTCTTAATTGCTCTTTGAAATCTCTGTGCTTTTTGTAGGTGCAAGAGTCTTACTTTCAAATTTGAGCTAATCCTTAAAATGATGTCAATTGAAACATCCCTTTGCTGGCAGCTAAGAGATGTGAGAGCCAGTTCTTAAACTGGTTCTTTGATCCTAAGTGATTACCTGGATTTCAGTTTTCTCGTTTCAAAAATGTTCTTAGAATATCAAGTTCTAATATTCTAAGCTTTCCTGGTATTGATGTACATTCTAAGGACACAAAGAGAACCACATATATGTATGTATATATGTACCTATCCATCTAAATAAATGTGTGGGTATGTATGCATAGATAGATGAAAGTATTAATATGTACATTCTCTTAACATTTCAGATATGACTTTAAAAGCTGTTAAGAGAGGCCAACATTTAAATACCATTTCCCTATGTCATTCATCTTATAATTATTCACATTTGCCTTTTGTGACTTTGGAGTGTCAATAACTTATTGTTTTACTCTGTGTATTTTAGGTTGATCAACAAAGTAACAACTTGGATCTCTAAAGGGATATAGTAATAATTTTGCTATATAGAAAACTTATCGTGGGGTTTAACCAGAACCTATGAAAATTACTCTTCCAAGACAATAATAATAAACAAAAAAAAATAATGAATCAGGGAGGGAGAGAGGAAGATAGGGAGGAAAGAAGGGAGATACGGTTTAGGCTGCATGGGACGCTTTCTTATGCCAGGGACTACTACTGTTCTTATTCCCCACAGTACTTGGTGCCTTGCACTGTGCCTGGCATGCAATAGGCAGTCAATAAGTATTTGCTAACTGAATGACAGTTTCAGAGTGGCTGACTGAAACAGAAGTTTTAGCATTTAAACAATGAATGACTGATTTTCAATTATTCTTATCTCTTAATGAATCTTTGACCAGGCATGCAATGCAGCGAAGCACTGGGGGATGAAAGTTTATGACATCTGTGTTGTTTTAAAGGAGTAAAAATTGTTTTTCTGTCCATTCTCTGCACCTTTACAGCTGTCTTAATCAAGGGTGGCCAGCATATTTAAAATACTGACTGAGTGCCCCTTCAGCATCCGCCCTTCGAAATGTCATAACCAGAACCATGACTCCTTCTTGGGGTTAGGGATGACTGAATGATGGTAGGAAGTGTGATCATAGACGAGGGCAGAGAGATTAGGGCCTCTGCCCTGGGATCAACCCTGTGTTTGGGGTCCCCACTCTTTGGTACTCTTTCTTCAATTTCTCTGAACCGCTGAGTTCTGAGTCTTCCCTGCCTTCAACTTATATAATTGTCTAACTCCTCAAGCTGTTTTTGTCTCCCTAGATTTTCAACTGGTGGTCTGCTGTGATGCAGAGGAACTGCTTCATTCTTTCAATCCCTCAGACCTGGACTTCTCATTCACCATCTGTTCTGATCTTGGCGACCTGCCTGAGACTTTGAGCCACATTTGAATCCTTGGCTGTTCTCTTCTGCTGCCTACACCCTGGCCTGACCCAGAGAACTTCATAAGGACACAGACAAACATAGGAGAAATAGTTACAGGACATGGCACATAAAGGGAAGGCCTATGTGAATTAGAGAGGTGAGGGATGATTTCCCAGAGGAGGTGGGACATGAAGGGTAGATTAACTCAGTTTTTCCTCTTCCTGTTGGTAGTAAGTGTTGCATGAACCCACATGTAATAAAATGGAATGTCTTTAGCATGCTATAATATATTAAGGCTCTTTATTCTTTTACAGCAAGTTTTCTAGTTTCCATACATTCTAAGATTTCTCTATTTTCCTTATATGCTATAAGCGCTTTATGGCCTGAATTGGTTGGGCATAGGTTCCTGTGTTCTCCACCCTCCTCCTCCACCCTTGTTTATACACATCTGTGCTTGCTTATTTCCCATCTTCTCAGATCATAGTTCATGGTCTGAAACAATCATCTCAGAGTTGGCTTTCCTCTTGGGGATCAACTGATTCAGCCATGTCTGCCATATTTTGTGCAGCCATCCTCACTACATCCTGAACAGGCTTCTCCAAGTGGTGAGGTCCAACGTGGGTCTTGTCCAGGGCAGACGGAAGCCCCCAGGGCCAAGTGACAGGCTTGTTCTGGCTCTGCCTGGCTCAACTCAGGGATTGGAAGGGGAGGCACAGAATTGTGCCAGGAGCTTTCTCTATGGGCTCCTCTGCTTAGACCCAGCTGGCTTGGCTTAGCAACAGTGACATCGAGGGGGCAGGATTCACATTCCCTTTTCAGAGGCTTTGGCAGCCTCTGCAGCTGTAGCGGTGGCTTGCCAGTCTTCCCACCCACACCAATCTTTAAAGGGGGCTCATCTGTTACCTTCCATTGACTCAGCAGCTCCCTTCTTTGGATGCGCATTGTATAGGGTGTCTACCTGCCATGGCAAGTAGGAGAATTTTGGAGAAGTTAAGGAATTACAGCCTGTACTGTACTCTTGGGTCTGAGTCCCAGGGAGTTCTCTCTCTTTTTAGTTTCTTTTTTTTCTGCATGTGTCTTTATCTATTAATTTTAATTAATTTTTTTCATTGACAAATAAAAATTATACATATTTATGGTGTATGATGTGATGTTTAATATAAGTTTACATTGTGGATTAATCAAATCAAGTCAATTAACCTAGAGAGTTCTACAGGATGAAATATACTTCTTGCTTAAGAAAAGGATGTTTTGATTTTTTCCCCTTTATTAAAGAAACCAAATGCAGGGATTAGAAGGCAAAGAGGTAAAACAGCTGAGCTATGCTCCTGGGGAGCCTGTGCTAGCTCCATTGTCAAGAGAGAATATGTTTTGGTTGCTTCTGTCATCAGAGAAGCTCAGTCGAAGCTACTCTCAATCTTCAAAATTAGCAGCAATGTAGTTATGTGTAGGAAAACATCCTAGACCAGGAAAGAGGAGCCCAGCTATTGCTGTGAGCCTTTGGGTGAAACACTATCTTGGGTCCAGTTTCCTCACTTGTGTGTAAAACGAGGTCTGAGATCTTGACTCTGGCTTCAATGTACTTTTGAGAACATGCCATCCCTTGATTTGTATACCTGTTGGCATTATCTACTGTGGCGTCTTCAGCTTGGGGTGCCCCATAGGCTCTTCTTCTATACCTTTGTCTCCAACTCATTATGATGAAAGAGTTTATTTAAACCACAGCACAGAGATATACACCCATGGGGTACCTAGGAGTAGCACAAGTACGTAAGGCACTTTCTCAACAAAAGAGACAGATTATCTTTATGTTCTTTGTCAGGGCAGCCCCTCTGAAACACTGTGCTTCCTATGCTGTGTTCCTTGTATTGTTTAAAGAAACATGCACCACGGGACCTTGCTGCCTGGATAACATGGACACCCCTACGGTGGATTTTAGTTTCTTCATCTGTAAAATAAGAGAATCCTATCTGCCTTGTAGGTATGAGAATCAAGTGAATTAATATTATGTAAATTATTTAGCACAGCACCTGGCACATGGGAAGTGCTTGCTAAATATCTAAGTACCCATGAAATGTTGGTAGATACACTACTTAAAAAAATAAATTAAAAGCCTTAAATAAAAGAAGTTTATTTGGAAAATCTGGGTTGATCAAAGTCAGACACATCTTTTTCTTTAGTATTTAGAATATTTAATGCCATCCCATGCGGGGGAATTTTGAAACTTCATCAGAGACTATGGAGGGCCTAGAGTATTGTTTGGAATTTTCCACACCTACTTGACTGTGGAGTTGCTTTTGTGGAACACCTAATATGGTCTCAGGGACCCTGAATGCGTTCATGGAACATAGTTTTGGGAACATGGCTCCAAGAACATGAAATCCTCTTGCTAATTTGTGCAACCTTCATCAAAAGTCTCTTCTGCTGGTTTGGTTCTCAGGGACTGCTTATCCAGAGGGATATCTGTCACTTTTGTGCTGTCTTCTACTTATACTTTTAGTATTTATAGGAAAGCTGCCATTTGTATTTACACTTTTACTTGAGTAACTACCTGCTAACTTTAAAGATTGAGAGTAGTTTAGGTGGTGGTACCCTGTTGAAGGAAGCAGTTTAAAATAAGTGTATATTGACATGGAGTTAGCATGGCTGGCTGCCTTGGTGAAAGAGCATGGACAACTAACCTACCTCCACTCATTCCTGACATCGAAGTATAGTGCTGGCTTTGTGAATAAGGAGAGGTGATCTTTGTGCTCCTGAGGTTAATGAGAGCCAGGAGCCTGGAAAATCTGGAAATTCTCCTTACACTCTTCACAGGACCTGCAAACAATCACATCTCTTACCTGTCACCCACAACTTAATGGTCAACAGGCCTCTAGAGAGCCGAGTCTGCAGGTGGAAAATGGGAACTGAGAAGAAGGGGAAAGGTGCAGCTAGACCCACAGAGCGAGTGTGTGCCTGCATGCCTTATTGACTCGCCCGAGAACTGTTTAGAGCTACGGGGATTAGATTAGGAATCAGAATCTCCCAGGATCAAGGACCTGGGTGGTCCTTTGGCTCCCCACAGAACAGAGTGCGAACACATTAGCCAAGCAGTCAGAACCTTCCCAAACGGGGTCAATTTCACTTCTCTCCCTCACATACCAATGAAACCTTCCTCTTCACTCATCTGGGACCACTATCCCCACCCCACCACCACCCTGTACATTTCTGCCTCTGAATCTTTGCTTGAATAACTTTGTTTCCATGTCTTCTGTCAAAATCATACGTATTTTTTAAGAGCAAACTCAAGAAATATCACATATGCTTCCCTGATCCTTCCTCCCATGCCTACCTAGTCTCCCTCCATCGGGACAGCCAGGTTCCCCTCTCCTATTTACTGTAGTTTCATATGCTGCATTTTGAGTTCATCTTGCTCCACTTTACATTATGAGTTTTGGGGTACACATGATCTCCACTCAGAAAATAATTTATTTGAGGGCAAGGACTGTGCTGTTTTTATCTATGTCCCTGGCCACATCTTAATGAGTTTGTGCTACAACAAAATTAGCTAAAACCAATTATTTAGACACACTGACCCACTACAATGTGGTTTTCTTAGTGTCAAAATTCGACATGCATGTGTCTATTAAGAGCTATTTATTTCGCATTGGTCATCACTACTCCTCTTGGCTAATTGTTTTGCAAGCACAGGTGATTTTTCTTATTTTTCTAAGCTTACTAAATATGAAATCACGTCTACATGCCTAATAATGGCATTCAAGACTCTCACCATCTGGGCTCAATATATCTTTTGGGCATGTGGAAATGGGGTGTAAACTCTCCAAATTCTCTTCAAAGAACAGCTGGGCCTAAAGCAGGATTTCTCAACCTCAGCCTGGTTGACACTTTGTGCTGGAGAAGGCTTTGTTGTGGAGGGGTGTACTCTGCATGACAGGATGTTTAGCAGCAACGCTGTCTCCACCCACCAGATGCAAGTAGCGTTCCTCACTGTCCCCCCTCATGCTGAGATTGTGATAGCCAAAAATGTCTCCAGATACTGTTAAATGTAGAGAGCAAAATTGCTCCTGGTTCAAAAGCACTGGTCTAGAGGTCTCCCATATTTTCCTCTGAGTCCTGGGACAAAGTGGCTCAAGCCTCCTTCTCTGATGACTCAGGTGATATCTCTCTCATCTTGGGCCAATCACAAATGAATATAGCCAGGGAGAGGCAAGTGCTTTCTGAAAAGCAAGAATAGGTCATGCTTTGTCATTCACTGGTAGAGTCAGAAGTAAGCCATAATACAAATGACTAAGAGTCAACCAAAGACAATCAGAAAGGTAATTAGACCAGTGATGTTCAAAGTCTTGTTTGTAAACCACATCTTCTGGAGAAATGATTAAAAATGGAAATTTTGCGGGTTATTATCTAGGTCTACTGTATTGAAATCTGGATTTTTAACAAACTCCCAAGGGGATTCTTATGCATCCAAGAGTATGAGAACCACTGTATTCAATAGCAATGCTTATTTACTTATCTTCAAAAATTGTTTATTTTGAAATAACCAGGGGCAGAATACTAAATAGTACAAAAAGAGGAACTAGGCTTTCATATAATAAAAAGTACTGTATCTTAACTTTGTTTTCTTTTTTAGCTTAAGTGCTTCCTAAAGACTAACACAATCCATATGTTCATGGAAAACAAAAATCCCCACCAGAATATGAGGTTGGTCAGGCATACTCGAGTGAGTCTGTCAAGCCCTAAGACCTGGTGGGTGTTGGATCCAAATTCCCTCTTCAACACAGTGTAAGCATCCAATGCATTCATCATCCCCTTTTCAAAATGCTTGGTCTGTGCGTCTTCTTTTTCCTGACCCTGAATGAGATATTTTTGAGACTTAAAAGGAAAAGTAAAAAGGAAAGCCAGCTTAGATAAGGTGCTCTTTGGCAAAAGAATAGGATAAAATGCATTGTAATTGCTTCTAAATTAGTTACCTTATCTGATTTGGGTCTGTCTTTTTATAAGCAAAGCTCAAAACACTTAACCCCTAGTTGTCCAGTTGTAGTGCAACTAAAGCCACTAAAGCTCTGAACCTAGTGAGTGGATAGACAATACTGCTTTTTGTGCAGAGAACATAATTTCACACCCCCCTCCTTTGCTACCCTCCATTGCCTGGCAACAATGCTGGGCACACCATGGGAGATCTGTAACTACTTGCTGAATGGAAGGAAGGGCTGAACAACCCTGTAGACCCTGTAGTTTGGGGTAAGAAGACATCTGGATGCTGACCTGTACACCAAGCTACATGAAGAATTTCCCCATAGTTCATTAGAGAGTGGGAGCAAGAGGGTACCCAGATGCCACACAGACCCCAAGAAAGAGCTCATCAAGTTTCCTTGCCTCTTGGGAACTGAAATAGTTAGCACTGTGGAGCTTGCCTAAATAGAATAGAAAAGAAAATGATACCAGGGAGATTTCTGCTGAAAAGACAGACCTATCCAGTTTTTCATTGGAACCATCTCCCTGATTCAAAAACAGCCCCATCATTAGAACTGCTGGACCAACTCAACAAAATGTAAATACAGCTCTATCCAGTAATGTGACATTGCTAGAGGCATTCCCTGGCTTTCTGTAATAAAATATGACCTGAGTCCTTTCCAATTTATGTTTCTAGGGTCTTTTGTCTTTTTGTTTAATTAGGATACTTGTTCCTATTTGTCATGCAGTTAGGATGGCGTCTGTGTTTACAGATTACAGAGGTGTAGATAAAATGGGGACTCTGAGACCCAAGTGCAAAGGTTTGCATTTTTCACAGAAATTTTCCAAATGCTACTTTTATAGATGGTTGAAATTTGAGACTTGAGGGATCTCTCTTTTTAGTCAGGCTTGCCTAATATTTTGGCATCCTACAATTTCGTATACTTTGTAAGGAAAAAGAAGGGGAAAGTGGGAGGGTGGGAGGGTTTGTCTTTAATTGTCTTCTTTGTTAGAGAAATGAGATGTGGTGTTTTATTCATAGGCAAAGCCCTTTCTGGCAAATCGTTTGAAAGTCAGTGGGATTGTATAGATCCTCTCTATCTATTCTATTCCCTCTACATTAGCCATTCCTTTCCAAATCAGAAAATGTCTTTGGTAGATGGAATTATTGACCTCATGCTTCAGCTGTTTTTGGGTCCACACCCTTTGCCATGTGATATTGCAGTCCCTCCCACAAAAGGCAGAGTCAATTTTTCCACTGGCTGTGACTTGCTTTGGTCAATGCAGTGTGGATGGCTGTGACCATGTACCAGTTCTGCACTTGGACTATAAGAGGCATCATTTCTCTCTCAGTTATCTGCTTCCCCTCAGCTTGAAGCCTAGAGGAATACATAAAGAACCCATAGCATGGGGCTAGGTGTAGCCAGACTTATAGCTTGAGGTAGAGCCACCTAGCTGAGCCCAGTTTAGACGAGACAATGCCCGGGTGACCTGCAGACCCGTGGGCAAGAATAAGTGGTTATTGTTTTAATTAATCCACTGAAGTATTACTTGTTACTCAGTAATAGCCAATTGATAAAATACCCTCAATCCCCTCATCTCTCCAGTTTATATATTAATTCTCAGCCCAATATGTTTTGGGGCAAATGGAGAATTTTTCTAGCCCTTTCCAAATGCTGCAAGAGCTAATTCTATACATTGGATACAGTGACATGTTGCTAGACATCAGCTCCTCCTTCTAATTAATAATGATTCTGGGAGATGGACCACATCTTCCAATCTTTTTGTCCATGGCATTGAGCTTGTACAGGAGATGAAAGTGCATGCGTGACTTTGGGATCCAATCTTGGAAATAAGTAAAGCTTCTGCCACTTAATAGCTATGTAACTTTGGCAAGGCCATTTTGTTTTTCTGAATCTCAGTTTCTCCATCTGTTGAGGTTGTTGGGAAAGAGTTGGTAGAGAGAATAAAGTGTTCAGCACATAGTAAGTGTTAAATAAATAATTGGCAGCTGTTAGTATGATTGTGTAATAAATAAATAAAGACTGTTTTCTTTTAGCATTGGTGACCTGCTCTTCTTTGTAAGGTCCTTACCTCTTCTTTCCTGCCCAATATGGCACCTTCCTGGGGCACTTCCTGGGGCCCGGCTGTTGGGTCTGCTATTGCATGTCAGCAGTGTCTCTTCCTTCCCTATTCCCTACTCAGTAGCTCCTGTCATGGTAGGTGTCAAGCAGTGGTTAGATGGTGCTCTGCAATTCTAACAACAACCACCGCAATTCGAATAATAAGAGATAATTATTGAGTTCTAACTAGATTCAAACACTACCTGGATGATGTAATTTTTAAAGAAACCCAATGACATGGATTGAATTGTTTCCCCCTCAAATTCATGTTAAAACCCTAACCCCCAATGTGACTATATTTTGAGACAGGGTCTTTAAGAGTAATTAAGGTTAAATGAGTTCCAAGGGTGGGGCCCTAATTCGATAAGATTGGTGGCCTCATTAAAGGACGAGGAGATAGGAGTTTGCTCTTGCTAAATTTGCACAGAGGAAAGGCCGTGTGTAGGCATAGTGAGAAGGCGGCTATCTACAAGCCAAGGAGAGGGTCTTCACCAGAAACTCACCATACTGGCACTCTGATCTTTACTTCTAGACTCCAGAAATGTGAGTAAGTAAGTTTCCATTGTTTAAACCACTTAGTCTGTGGTATTTTGCTAACAAAGCCCAAATGACTATAAAACAACCCCTGTGGTGAATACTATCATCTCCATTTTCCAGCAAGAAAACTGAAGTTCACAGGGAGGAAGTGATTGACTCTTGATCCCACCTCTAGCAGATGTTGAACCCAGCATTCCCAGGCCAGCAGCCCCACCCCAGGCCCTGTGCTTTTCATCACTCTGCTCTCCTGGGTAGTGAGTTGCTCTGACCACCTTAGTCATTGCAGGCAGCTTTCAGGCCTGGGCAGAATCCATACAGCCACCAACGTGTAGAGACCTGATGCCAAGAGAGCAGAGCATAGGCTCGTGCATTTCAGAGGTGGAGAGAGGCAAGCATGTGGCCTGTGAGCAGGGTTTCTTTTGATCAGGGTAGACCTTTTGGGAGCAGCCCAACGTTATTAGAGGGAAGGCTACCTAGGAAAAAGAAACCTAAAACAATACATTGCTTTGGTGTTTTGGTAGCAATAAATTCTTTATTGTGTAAATAGTTTCATACGATGCATATTTTATCAAGTTTTATGCCTGATGATATGGTTTGGATTTGTGTCTCTGCCCAAATCTCACGTTGAATTGTAATCCCCAATGTTGGAGGAGGGGCCTGATGGGAGGTGATTGGATCATGGTGATTGGATCATGGGTCACTCTTCTCATGATAGTGACTGAGTTCTCATGAGATCTGGTTGTTTAAAAGTGTGTAGCACCTCCCCCTTCTCTTTCTTCCTCCTGCTCCAGCCATGTAGCATGCCTGCTTCCCCTTCCCCTTCCACCATGATTCTAAGTTTTCTGAGGCCTCCCCAGCCATGCTTCCAGTGTAGCCTGTGAGCCAATTAAACCTCTTTGCTTCATAAATAACCCAGTGTCAAGTAGCTCTTACAGCAGTGCAAGAACAAACCAATACACCTTGCATAAGGAACACAGCTGGTTGTATGATATTATTAATACTAATAAAAGTGTAACAAGGCATTTTTGAAGTATCTCTCATTTTCTCCTCCTCAGTGATGTCAGCCTCTCTCCCTGCACTCATTCCACCATTTTGGCCCCAGCAAAGACTCCAGAGCAAACAACACCTCGGAAAGGAGAAGGAGGAAATGAAGTTGGGGAAATTGGTGTCCTACAGGAAAGGGTAGGAAATCCCACTGTTTCTGCCCCCAGTGAAAGGTGAGGAGAAGAGAAGTGGTTAGGGGTTCATGCCCTTATGTCCCCACGTCCTCCAATCTCAGAGTGGAAGCCTGAACTAGTGGGAGAGGGAGACACTGCTGTGCGGTGGAAACATCTAGATAGATTTAAGAAGAGTTGAGAATCTGAAATCTAGAGGCTGCCTTCTTTGGGTGTGGCCTGGGGGGTCCTGTGTAACTCTACATCAGATATTTGTCAACCTCAGCACCATTGACATTTTGGCCCAGATAATTCTTTGTTGTTGGCCGTCTGTCCCAAGCACTGTAGGATGTTTAGCAGCAACTCTGGCCAGTAGTACCTCCCAGTTGTAACAACCAAAAATGTCTCCCGATATTGCCAAATGTCTCCTGGAAGCAAAATTGTGCATCCCACCCCATGATGGTACTCAGAGGTGCTGGGAAGGCCAGCGGTACTGCAGAGGTCTGGAGCAAGTGACTGGATCCATGATTGTCAGTGTCATCAATGCCAGTGCAGGACGAAGACACACTCACTGCAGAGAAAAGCAAGAACCAGAGGTGGGCCTATGGGTCCCTGGCCTTCACCTCCCATATAGACCCTCTGACTCCATTTTTGGTGAGAAGTAGAGGGAAGGGAAAACATCTAGATGACCTAAACAAGACGAAGTCATTCCCCCAAAAAAGCGTTCAAGCCAGAGAGATTGAGGTCACTTAAGTTGACATATTTAAAATCTTCCCTTCCCTGACGAGTGGTGGCTCATGCCTGTAATCCCAGCATTTTGGGAAACTAAGGCAGGAGGATCCCTTCAGCCCAGGAGTTTGAGACTAGCCTAAGCAACATGGCAAGACCCTGTTTCTGCAAAAAATACAAAAGTTAGCTGTTCATGCTGGCATATGGCTGTTGTCCCAGCTACCCAGGAGGCTGAGGTGGGCCAATTACTTGAGCCTGGGAGGTCAAGGTTGCAGTGAGACATGATTGCACTACTGCACTCCAGCCTGGGTGACAGTGTGAGACTTTGTCTCAAAAATTAAATAAGTAAACTCTTCCCTTCCCAACTACCCACAGAGGTGAGGGACTCCTGAAGAATATTACATCCACAATGGCAAAATTAGAAAACTACATTTTCTTTGCACATCTGAAAAGCAGTGTGAATCCATGATGTGGTAAAGGTAGTAATAACAATAGCAGCTACCATGTATCACATGCTTACTGCACACTTAGTACTTTGCAGGGATTGTCTCCTTTAACCCTTTAACCAGCAGTCCTAGGAAGTAGATGTTTCTATTGTGGTCTTTTCCTTACCTATGAGGTCCAAGTGATGGAAAGTGATGAGGCATAGATACACACCCAGTCTAGGTGATTCCAGAGCCCAGATGCCTCATGACTCTACCACATTGCTTTCTTACTGCTGTAGTGCTTTGTATCTATGTCTGTCTCCAATTCATTCATTTATTCCTTTGTGGTACTTGTAGAACAAATCGTGCCATTCCATTTATTCTCCATAGCAATGTTTAAAGAGAGCTTTTCCAGCATTTAATTCCTATTGAGCAGGGATTTCTTTCTCTGCAGAGAGCTCAAATACTCTCAAGAACTGAGAAGGAACTAAAGGGACATTTGTTGTAGTAGATTATTCACGGTAAAGAATTTGCTGCACCCACAGCAACAAAGAACTGTTTGTGTGTAGACTGCAAGGGTCACTCTGAATACCATAAGCAGAGCATTGAACAATGAACTTATCTCCTGGTCCCGGGAAGTGGTCCACAGTAACAATGCTTTGTAGATAGAGCTACTGGCTACTCTTAGGCTTCCAGTGCCACTCTTTTTCTGAAACAGCCAAGGACTTAGCATTTTCAAAGATAAAAGTCAATTCCATTAAAATGAATCCTTTTTTTTTTTTTTAACAACTAATAGTTTCTATTTAAAAATAGCTTTTGGTCTATTTACAGTGTCTTCATGTCCCTGACCTTTCTTAGCAATCAGCTTCTTGTCTGGGTATGGAGAGCAGAGGCCATAGACCAGTCATTGGATATTGAAAAGTTTGGTTGCTTTAAGATGGTTGCATCTTTAAAATTACTGGTGTTGGTAGATTTAATTATGTTCGAAGATAATTTCTCTTTTCTATTTAAACACTGACTATGGCAAATTAGAAATGGCTGGAAATTTTCTGACATTCCTTCCATGGACCAGTGGGTTTTAGTTCTTCTCTATTTGAACCCATGTTGGCTTGTGACATTTTGATGAACAGAAGAGAGTGAAAGTGATGCATGCCAACCCTGGGCCTAGGCTTTAAAAGGACTGGCAGCTTCCACTTTGTTCTGTTGGAACACTGAGGTTCCATGGTAAAAGTCTGACTACCCTGAGGCTGTTGTGCTGTGAGAGGCACAAGCCACATACAGGGGCTCCAGCAGATAAATTGTCATGGTGGGGGTGAAAAGAAGTTGAAGAATCAGATAGGTGAGCACAGAAGCCATCCAGAATCTCAGAAATGGATCCTCCAGTCCCAGGTGCTACAGTTGACACCAAGGAGCAGAGAGGTGAATCCCCTCGCTGAACCCTTCTTAGATTCTTGACCCACAAAATTGTGAGCCAAAAAAAAAAAAGGTTGCTCTAAGTTTTGGGGTAGTTTATTACACAGTAACAGATAACCAACTTTTCAATTTCTAAAGTTTGTTACAGCAGATCCTAAGAAACTTCTCAGGTATCCAGAGATGTGAAAACACCAGGACTAACAGCTACTTGTCTTACAGCTAGGGCATTAACCATTATTTTAACAGCTTTGTGACTATCAGATAAAGCCATTTTTTGATCTTCCAATTTCTTAAGAAGATATTTATTACTGCCACTAAGTTCAGAATTGTGTTTTTACATGCTACTATAAAGACACATGCACACGTATGTTTATTGCAGCACTATTCACAATAGCAAAGACTTGGAACCAACCCAAATGTCCATCAACGATAGATTGGATTAAGAAAATGTGGCACATATACACCATGGAATACTATGCAGCCATAAAAAATGATGAGTTCATGTCCTTTGTAGGGACATGAATGAAGCTGGAAACCATCATTCTCAGCAAACTATCGCAAGGACAAAAAACCAAGCACCGCATGTTCGCACTCATAGGTGGGAATTGAACAATGAGAACACATGGACACAGGAAGGGGAACATCACACACCGGGGCCTGATGTGGGGTGGGGGGAGGGGGGAGGGATAGCATTAGGAGATATACCTAATGTTAAATGAAGAGTTAGTGGGTGCAGCACACCAACATGGCACACGCATACATATGTAACAAACCTGCACGTTGTGCACATGTACCCTAAAACTTAAAGTATAAAAAAAAAATGTATTTTTAGTTTCTTTCTCATCACTTTTACCCCACCCTGTACCAGCCCTCCATGGCAGAGCCCCTTGTGAGGGGACTCAGTCCAGCCCTGGTAGCCAGGGTCCTTCCTTTGTCCTTCTGCCACCTTATCCATGAGCAGAGTTTATTCAACTTCAAACGTAGAGAGGGCACAAAGGACATTGTGATTTGTGTTTTCAAGTTTCCTTCCTTCAGAACAGGCACCTGAGCTGTTCTACTGGGAGCCAAGAAAGGGCAGATCCCAGGACAGCAGGATTCGGGCAGGTTCCTGCATTATTTGCCTCTTGACGGGGCGCCCTGGTCCCTCAGATTCACCTCATCGTGTACACAGCTGCTACATACAGCAAACCAAAGCCCTGGATTCCCCCATGGCACACAGGGCTACATTTCTGTGGCCACATGTTCCTTGCAAACACTGGCCACATAACCTGGGGAAGGGGCAACTCACAGGATAATCCAGTTCAGCAGACTTCCTGCAGTTTAAACTGCTCTTGGTGGAGAGACCTTTCAAGAGGAGACCCTTTTGGCTTTCTCTGTCATTTCCTAGCTGAGGTCCAGGAAAAGGAGTCTCCACTACATTTGCCCTAGTCCTACTCAAGGAAAAGCACCTTAACTTTCAGAGACTAAATAGTTTTCCAAAATGGAAAAGAAAATCCACCTGTGTAAATGATGGGAATCTTATGCTCAGCGAGATAGTTGGGTTGGGAAAAACAGTTAAAACTCCAAGATGAATAGAAGGATAGCAAAAAGTGTGTGTGTGTGTGTGTGTGTGTGTGTGTGTGTGTGTGTGTATGTATATATATATATATATATATACGTATGTATATATATATATATACGTATGTATATATATATATATATACACGTATGTGTATATATATACGTATGTGTGTGTATATATATATATATATACACGTATGTGTATATATATATATATACACGTATGTGTATATATATATATACGTGTGTGTGTGTGTGTGTGTATATATATATATATATATATATATATATATATATATTTCAAGAGAGAAACTCCTAAACCTTAGACCAACATTTTAAAAGAGTGGTTCAAGGACCGTTTACATCAGAATTACACAGGAAGCCTGCTAAAATAAAGATTCCAGAGCTCCATTCTGGACCTACTGAATCAGGCTCTCTGGGGGTGAAAATAGAAATTTTCAGTGGCTCTCCAAGTGGTGCATGTGCTCACTGAAGTCTGAGAATGGTTGCCTTAGATTTATTTTACAAACAAATTTCATGAAACATTTTTTGAGAAGTCGATACAAATATTTATTATAAAATAATATTATAATTATATTAACTGTAGGAACATAGAGATACATGTTAGTTTTAATATGTGAGTAGTGTTATGTCATATATTAATATCTATACTAATATTACTATTATCCAGTTAAAGTAATACTAGCTGGATAATAACAGCCACAATAATAATGGTTAACATTTATCGAGCACTTACCAGGTGTTGTGTTCAGTCTTACACAAGTATTTTCTCATTTAATGTTCACCACGGATACTTTAGGTGCTCTCGCTTGGCATATCAGGAAATGAAGTTACACCAAGCCAGTAAATAGTGAGATAGTGATTTGAACCCAGAGCCCATTTTCCCCAATCAGCAGGTCACCCATCCTTACACCCTGGGGATCAGACCATGGTCTGTGCTTGGGCTGGAGCACTTGATCACATTCTGCCTTTTCTTATAGTGATTTATGAGTTGCCAGATCCTGGAGGGCAGGATCCAGTTTATTTCTGAAAGGCTTAGAACCCTAAGCCCTGTGCCTTGAATGTACAGATAAGCGTCGTTCAAATGTCTGTCGGAATCAGTTAAAATGCCACACTCCAAACAGGGTCAGACTTGCTGATGACAGTGGCAGCTTTCGTGTCTTGTATGCAGTTGCAGGATAGGTGCTGAGTATTTACAACTTATTTCTAGTGATAGCAGAAGGTCATCCCTGGATGACTTCTATATTTGTTTCACCCAGTAAGTACCAAAGCAATGGTTACCTAAACATTTGCAAAGTGCCAATTAGATTTCAGATGAATTCCAATGAACTACATAATAATAATGAGAATAATGACTATTGAGCACTTATCATGTGCCAAGCCTTATGCTAAATCTTTTGCAAAAATAATTTCATAGGCCTTACTGAGGTGGGTATTATTATCTTCTCCCCGTACATGAAAGTTGAATAACTTGCCCAAAGTCACCCAGCTAGTGAGTAACAAGGTTTGGATTTGAAATCCATCTGATTCCAAATAGTAGTTTTACTATTTTTCACTATTCTAATCAACTTATTTTTCCCTTCCCTTTCTTCTTTCTTTCCTTCAAAAAAAATGTATTGAATGCTTCCTCTGTATTAAGCCTGCATTAGGTGAATAATACAAAGATGAGCAAGAAAGACATGGTCCTTACCCTAAAGGGGTGTTGGGGGAAGTCGGAAGATGAAATGAACAATTGTAGCACACGGTGGTGAATGCTATGATAGAATATCCAGTGCGGTAAGAAGAGATGCATAAGAAGCCATGGCTCCTGGGTACCTTGCTCAAGCGCAGTTGAATTCTCACGGCAACTCTCTGACCTGTGTGTCAGTAGCTGCATTTGTATATGAAGACACAGTTTCAGAGGTCAGAACACTTACTCAAGGCTTCACAGACAAGTGGCAGGGCTACTATTCAAACCCCTATCTCCAAAACGCAAGGGTCATGCTCTCCTTGCTAGACCGTGTCATCTGGGACTAGCAAAAAGTAAACTAAAATGGAATGGCTGCCTTTCTCTGTGGTGGGTGATATGTTTTCTACTAAGTAAAATTGAGTTAAACTAATTTTTATCCTGAAGTGTGTGGAGGGATAATGAAGTCCCAAATTCCTGTGTTTGAGTGAGCCTCTCTGTGAACGACACAGAGGACACCCTTAAGATAATCAACAGACCCCATGTTGTTATTTGAAGTTCCGCAGTAATGGAGTTTGCTAGGAACATTATTCCTTAGTTCATATTTATTTAGATTTGAAACCTGTCCTACCTTGGATTAGTTGCAAGAATCAGTCGCTTCACTTTGGACTGTGATGAACTGACCAAAGAAGAGTACTAAATACTGAAAGAAATACAAAGAGGCCAAGGTACTAGACTGCTGGTACAAAATCAAAAAGGTCTGGTCCCAAGTGGCACTCAAGTTTTAACTGTTGACTTGCTGGAAGTTTTGGAGGCATTTAACCACTTGCTGATACTCTACATTTCCTTTTAAAAAATCAAATAGATATAATCGTGTGAAATGGCTTCAGAGGAGGGATAAGCCATCCCTCTGCTTTGAGAATATCATGTATACCCTGGAAGAGGAGATGAAGGAGACTCAGAGGCAATATTCTCTTTTAAAGGCAAATAGAAAATGTCCACTTCTCCAAACATACTGTTCATAGGATTCCAGGGCTGCTTTTGAAATCTTGTTGCAATGACCAACAGAGTAGCCTCAGAATGGCTAAGGAAAGTTTATGCCTATTGATCAAAATCAGCATCTAAGCTGTAGTAGAAGACAAGGTTCACGTGTTTTCAGAGCACTGGGGCTCAATAATTAACCTTAGCTTCTTTGGGGTTTCTGAAGTTTAATGCTGCAGTGGTTTCAGAGGTTTAGCAAAGGTTTTTCCCACTAAGTTTCTGCTGAAGCCCGTCTTTCCTTAGCCTGTGGACTGCAACATTCTGAAGCCTCTGTGCTCCACACATTGCACATTCTGAATGGCACTCTGCATTTTAGTGGTGTCTGATTGCACTTTTAAAAACCATTCCTGTGAGCAGTTTTTGGACAAGAGACAACTAATTTCCTGCATCATGTGTGGATTTCCAGAACAATGCCAGAGGGGCTAAGAACACTCTTTCTCTGTTGACTACACAAAAATATATTTAACATTTGCCCAGGGCCAGAATTTTGTCTCTTTCAGTGTATTAAAAATGCTATCCTGGAGAGCTGATATTAAAAGAAGAACATTTAATTAGACAAGTGCTTTTGAAATCGTCTTTTGAGTTCTGAGATAGCGCTGAAGAATAAAGGGCCCCAACTGGCAGGGACCCTAGTCACCTGAAAGCAAAATGTAAACAGAAAATTCTGGTTTTTCTCTGCCTTTTCTCCAAACCCCCTCTTCTCTACAACTTTCCTATTAAAGTTCAGGAATAGTTGGTTGCTGCGGTAGATTGCTAATACATCTTGCTAAAGTGAATGTCATTTTCATCTCCCGAGAACTCCAAGGAAGCCCAGACTCAGGAGAACGAAGCCATCGTTCATCTTTCAATGCTCAATAACAGGATTTAGACATCTCAATACTTTTGAAAAAGAAGGCCTTTTTTTTGTAAGAAAAAGATGACCCTGAACAAGACTGACTACAGTTTCTTATGATACATTATGTGTTGTGAAGTTAAGCCAGGGACTCTTTAGCCTTGCCTGATATAAAATTAGGGATACATGGGACAATTCTACAAGTAAAAGGTTATAAAGGTGGCCCACAGGCTAGACAGACCCCATAAATGTGTTTTGTTTTGGCCTACATACAATTTTAATACAGTTTAAAATTGATTTTTAGCATTTTAAAACGGAGAGATTATCTAAAAAGAAAACAGAAAATCTTTATGACCTTGGATTAGACAAAGATTTCTTAGATAGAACATCAAAATCATGATCCGTGAAAGAGAAACGAAGATAAGTGGAACTTCAGCAAAATTAAAAACGTATGTTACTGAAAGCCACTTAAGAGAATGAGAAGACAAGTTACAGATGGGCAGAAATATTTGAAAACCACTTATCTAGTAAAGGACATGCATACAGATTATACTAAGAACTGTCAAAACTCAGTAATAAGAAAACAAATGGCCCCATAAAAATGAGCAGAAGATTTAAATAGACACATCACCAATCAAGATATATGAATAGCAAATAAACACATAAAAAGACACTCAGCTGAACTGACCATTAGGGGAATGCAAATTAAAACCACAGTGAGATACTACTACACAGGTACTAGAATAGTCAAAATTTAAAAAGACTGGCTATACCAAGTGTTAGCAAGCATGTAGAGCAAATGGGACTCTCACACATTGCTTTAAAAGAATCTTTTAAAAAGAGAAGAAAAGTTGATAAAGCTTATGTAATTTGCCATAGCTAAAATCACAGGGCTCAAAAATTGAGCAGAGCATTTCCCAACATGATAGTCAGTCAATCCTTGGATAAAGGTTTTCTTTATGCTAGAACTCTCTGTTAGCAGGACTCTTAGTCCCCTATCACTGCTTCTAGGATACCTGTTTGCTTTACCAGGGCCTCTGGACAAGTCCATTCAGACTGCCTAGATTTTGGCACAGGGAGTCCAGAAATTCCTGTGCTGATCTAGACAACAATTCTACCCTTCCAGCCTCCCAGGGCCACATTAGGACTTCCCTGCTTTTGAGATTGATGTCTTCTGTTTATGGCTCAGCCGCCTCATCACATATGGAGGCTCACCCTAGAAGAGGGTCATCGTCTCTTCTCAGGCCGACACAGCCCCTTCCTTTGAAGTTCAGAGATTAGTATAGTCCACAAGCTAGCAGCACATCAAGCGACTGAAATGTCCCTCAAACTCTGGTGTGCTTTCTGTCTCTCTATAGGCGAATTGTACCACCCTTCCTCATGGCACCACTCTCTATTTAGCCAGGTTCTAATTTCTGCTGGGTTTCTCCTTCCATCTTCAGGTACTCACATCTTATGGAACCTGCCTTTAAGTCCTTCTGTCCTTATTTTTCTTTTTTAAGAGATGGTTTTATAAGGTTGGCTACAGGGAAATTTCCCATCATTTTGAAAATTAAAGCTCTGTTGTAATCTCAGTCTTCTTTAAGTAACTGTCTCCATACCCCAGAACTTAGTATAATAAAAAAGAATAATTTTATAAAAAGAACATATGGAAGATTAAATGAAAATAGTCAATAAAATTATTAAAAAGAAAAGCAGTGATATTTTACTAAAGAGTAATCCCCTAGAGCCACTGTAGTTACAATAATGTAGTATTGGCATAAAATACCAATGGACTAGAATAGAGAGCCAATAAATATATCCCAATGGCTATGGGAAGTTAACGTATGGCAAAGGTAATATTTCAATTTCAGGGAAAAAAAATTGCCATCTCCAATGGAAAGGTTTCACCTGAGACTGGGGACCATCCTTGACTTTCTGCTTGGATGAAAAGAAGTATAAATGCTGCTTATCTACAGAAATTTCTGATATTTCTGCAAATAAAAACCATATAACTACACAAATCTTGGAGAGTGAAAGTGAAAAAGGGGTAACTCAGCTTGAATCTGTCATGGCCAGATCAAATTTAGAGGAATGCTTCACTTTCATTGTTATTATTATTTTTTGAGAGAATAGCTCTTTGAGATGAGTGTCATTTGGCAAGCATAGGCATGCATGAATACATCCTCCCTCCCGTGTTTGTGGTGGGACAAAAGAGTGGTTTAAGTAAAGTTTTAAAAACCTAAAGAACATATACACAGAATCAGATATGATGGCTTTAAATTAATCGGATAGCTTTTCCCAGTGGTAGCTGGGAGCTTTTCCAATAAAGCTACCACTATCTGAAACATATCCGAAACTCTTCTTTTTTGCTAGCTTTTATAAAACCTGCATTGGATTATTTTGACTATCTTCAAGAGTGAAAAAAATATATTTGCTCTGGAGTTTGATTTTGGGGACTGTTCTGGGTTGAATAGGGCCCTCCAAATTCATGGCCATCCAGAACCTGTGAATGTGATCTTATTTGGAAATAGGGACATTGCAGATGTAGTTATTATAGTTAAGATGCCGTCATACTGGATTAGGGTGGGCCCTAAATCCATTATGACTGGTGTCTCATATAAAGAAGAGAAGACGCACAGAGACGAGACATCCAGGGACAACACCATGTGATGACGATGGCAGAGATTGGAGTGATGCATCTACAAGCCAGGGAATGTCAAGCATTGCTGGCAACCAGCAGGGCTAGGAAGAGGCAAGGAAGGATTCTCTTCAAGAGCCTTTAGAGAGAGAGCATGGCCTTCTAATACCTTGATTTCAAATTACTAACTTCCAGAATTGTGAGAGACTACAATTTTTGTTGTTGAAACCACCCAATGTGTGATACTTTGTAATGACAGTCCTAAGAAACATACACAGAAAATAAGTTGGATGACTGAAGAGTATTCATGCCAGGCAATTCTGCTGTTGGTTAAAAAAATCTATGATTAACCCAACAAGACTGATTTTATCTTTTAGATCTGAAACTAAACTTAAATGTCACCACTAATAATGGCTAACTTTGGTGGCAAGCCCACTCTGACTAGCAATTTTTATGCATTATCTCATTGATCCTCAAAAAGCTGTAGAGTGGCATCTTATCTCCATTTTACAAGAGAAAGAACCTCAGGAGCTGATAAATTAGGAAACTTGCCTATGGTCATGCAGCTGGTAATGGTCAGAATTCAAATTTATGGTTGTTTCACTACACCACACTGCCACTCAATGTCTGAAGATGGCTTCCAAAAATGTTTGTGCAATAGACATTTCTCTGAACTAATTGTACCGTGCCCTGAGGCGACGGATTTGCAGAACAGCTCTCTTGAATAGTAAGTGCTAGTATTTTTGTTTAAAAAATTCCCTGTCATTACTTTATAGCCTCACCTTGTCTATATTATATGGGATTCTTTGCTTGCCTAACTTATATTATCACTCCCCTGGGAGGGACTGAGACTTCTTTTCCATTTCATACAGAGTTTAAGAAGCTGTCAACACTTAGTAAATAATCAGTATTTAAGCCAGCACAGTGATCCCTACAAATTATGACCCTCAGGCTCTGAAGATGAAGAAAATGTTGAGTTGTGCAATTTTCCACTCTTCAAATAATCTTAATAGTGTGGATCATGTTAGTCCTAGTTTAATATTATAATCCAAACAACATTTGACTCTGAATGCAGAGCGAGGCTTGGGAATCACCCAGACCAGTGTATTCAGAGACGACTCATGGCAGCTGGCTGGGCTGTTTTGACCTTTCCAGTATTTGCAAACTGGCTGGGCATTTTGTCCCTCCTCTGCCTACATGACATTTACCACGCACATAATCACAGAACAATTGTAACATTTTAATGTTTTTCTTTTTCTTCTTCTTTTTGAATCTTAAGGACTAGCTCTGCCTTGTGGGTTAGGTAGATTGGGGACTTGCATGTTTGTTGCTACTCGAATTCCAGTGGAGTTGAGCTTGAGAGTGTCTATTTCCTATTCAACTGTGAATCTTCATTGTTCTGCGTCCTAAATCAAAGAAAAGTGGCTCACCTCATGTGGAAAGGGTTATTTTCAAACTCCTTGTGGGACTGTGTTCCCCCTTTTTAAGTGTGAGTGTGTCTGGGTGAGGCGAGTCCCAGTGTACATTCCATGGCACTGAAGGAGGTTGGCCTATGTGTGGTTTTGAGGATCAATGCTGGGTTGAGTCAAATCTTAAAAGTCCCCAAATAGTAGTATATTTTCTAAGAAGCATTTCAAGACTGTACTGCTGATTTCATGCCTCCTTCTTCATAACCCTTTCTTTTTGTGAAAGGAAATCTTTGACTTCCTTCTTTCTCCAAATTTGCCTCCCCATAAAATCAATTACATCTATTCTTTGCTTTAAATATCGATTTCATCGTCCCATGTTTTGTCACACTTTGTATTAAAAATCATTTAATAATGAGATGCTTTCAAGGAAACATTAAGAATTCTTGGCCTGTCATTCAAGGCCCACTACAATCCTCAATTCTCTCCCAATGCATGCATGCATCCATCCATCCATTCAACAAAACTTTACTGAATATCTAACAAGTGCCAGACATTACATTTTGTGCTTAGAGTACAGTGTGATGGAGACAGGCCTGGCCTCTGTCCTCAAGAAGTTTACAGCATGTTGGTGAAATGGAACACTAGACATGATCATGCAGAGTGCAGCAAGTGCTATGAGCAAAAAGCACAGGGTGTGCTGTAATAGAACTTGGGAGGGACACTGAAGACAAGGGACAATTTGAGGATGAAGTGCTATTTAGGCTGAAATCTAGTTTGTGAATAGGAGTCAGCCAGGTGAAAGACAGGGGAAAAGACGGGATAACATGTGTGAAGCCCAGGGGTGAGACAGCATAACATGCTGGGGAATTGAAAGAAGTTCAAAATAGCTGAAAGGTAGAGTGGGGTAGAGATGGAGCTGAGAAGGTGGGGAGTAGAGGAAGAAAACAGGGGCCAGATCCTACTGGACTTGAAAGCCTGGTGAGTTAGGACTTTCTTCAAGGTCAATGAAGGACTGCTGTAGGATTTTAAGCAGGAGAGGAAACTGATAAGATTTGCCTTTTTAAAACATCACTCTTGCTACCTTGAGGACAGTGGATCAGAAGAGACTGGAAATCCAGTTGCAAGCTGCAATTCAGATAAGAGATGATGGTATGAACAAGGAGCATGTCAGGGAGGACAAGATATGTGGACAGATTCAAGATCTTTAAATGTCAGTCTATCCCCAAAGATGTCACATAATAATTGCATTCCCATCATACATTTCCCTGCCAGGCAAACCTTGTTCCTGGCCATGGATTCAAATTCTACCCACATTGATGTCATCTTTTATGATGCCTTCTCTGACCCTCAGTCCTCAGAATCTATATAAATGGTTGCAAGACATTTTTTGTTTCCCTTACTTCACCAAGAGAACTGACTTGTAATATCAGTTCTTGTTTCCATAGCATCTTTCTCTTCTCAAGTGGGTAGCAAGCAAGATGAAGAGAAACCATGTTGATACATCATTTTTTCCCCTCCTCTTGGTACTTCCTACTTCATCTTGTGCAAGGTGTGTATGTAATACATATTTGTCCTGTGTGTATGTAATACATATTTGTCCTGTTGACCAACTGTGATCTTGCTCTCCTTCTAAAAGTTCTTCAGATGGTTCTCTTCCAGGTCTTATTTTAAATGGTACAACCAATAATCAATCTAGTAATTCACTCATTCATTTATCCATTTGCTCATACTTTTAATCATTCACTTAGCATATATTAAGTGTCTGTTATGCCGTAGGCACTATTCTAGGGCTGATTCTCTGCTTTTTTACTGAGCTGCTTATTTCATTTTGGATACTATGTTTTCCAACATAGAGACAGACTTCCTCTCCTGTTTATCATGTAAAATGAGGATTGAATGTACTAGAAATGTTTTTCTGCCATAAGCACACCTTAGCACCTGGTACCCAGATGAGCTATCTTATGGCATGGGTAAGGACTAAGTTGTGGAATGACTGTCGGTTTCCCAGGTGGAGTGTTGGCTGTCTGTAGTTGGCACATGTCTTGCCCAAGGGACCCAAACTTTGGAATTTGGATGTGCACTAGGCTGAATTAATCCTGCTCTGTTTTTTAAACAGTTCCTGATATTTGTCCAATAGAAGCAGAACAAAATAGTACCAGTTACTTCAAATGTGTGATTCAGAAGAATGTGAGTCCTAATGCAGAGCTCTTAATGTAAAGAAAAAATTTTGGCTTTTGCCACTGTCATTTCACAGCTCTCAGCCCACCATCGCCCTGCATTCTACCCTGCCAGGAATGGGCACTGGACTAGTTGCGGTTTGGGAGAGAAGCTTCTGAGATCCAAGATTCTTCTGCGCTGGCTTTAAAGTGATTTTTATGCTAACATTGCATCAAAGCCCTTTTTTGGCAAATAAATTGCCATATAAGATTAAAAATAATTTGGGGGGCAGGATTTCTACCAGGAATTGAACAAACGATGTACTGTCTGAAGCTGGTTCCAAATTCCTAATGCATCTGCTTTGTACAGTCCCCATTTCATAAAACTACAATTCCTCATTTGTCTGAGTGCCTTCTGCTTGTGTGCTAGAAGAATCATACCCCTTTATTTCTGGCCCTACAGGCACCTTCCCGAGTTTGGGAAAACTTCTCAAATAAGAACCCACAGAAGCCCTAAATAATGCAGTTGTTGCAAGCATCCTTGTTCAACATTTAGCAAGTGGTCCCGTGCTTTTTCTGATCAGGGCAGATATAAAACATCTGTCTCCTCAGCCAGTTTCCCAAGGAGAGTTCTCAATCCCTGCTCCCTGTTCCTGCCAGAGCCGCCATCTTGAATTCAGACACTTTTTCTAGTTTTCTCTTGAAACTCCCCAGTTGAAGAGATACGGCCACAGAGCATATTTAGATGTTTCTTTTGTTTGGTCAGTTATTTTTATCTGAAGGTACATGATGATTCTGTGGTTCAATTTGTAGAAATTTCTAGGATCAACAGGCTGTTGTACTGATTCTTCATTTAACTGATCCTAGACTTTTTCCCCGATTTGCTTATGCCTAGTTTAAATTTAGGTATTTCTTGATTTCGTTTGTTTATTTTTGATACTGGATCTCTATATCATTAGGTCACTTTAATTTGCAAGTAACAAAATCCTAACCTAAACTGGCTTAAACAAAAAGGGAATTCATGGGCTTACACAAACTGGAAAGCAGCATTGGGCACAGCTGGATTCAGGACTCAACAGGATAATCAGGACTCGGTTTCTCTCCATTTCTCGGCTCTGTCTTCTGCTATCATTGGCTTAAGTCTCAAGTTTCATGGGCAGTAGTTGTAGTAGTAGTAGCAGTTGGCAGTAGTGGTAGTACATTCTCTTAACTTTCAGGTTCTGTTAAAAGAAGTAAGTTTCTCTCTCCAAGATGTTCAACAAAATCCTGAATCTGCCTATCATTGGCTAGAATTTTTTTCACATACCCGTCTCTGGACCACTCCTGAGTCAGGGCAGGGAAGTCAGGCAAAGAGCCCTAGATACAGCAAAACAGAGCTAAGCTGCCTTTTACTCCAAAGTCATTTGGGGAACTGCAACTCCCTTTTCTCTTTCCTTTACCAATATAAGACTCAGGTTTGGTGTGAAGGAAAATCTGACCCTGTAAATTCATTTAAAACTCAGTTAACAGACATCGCGCCACTGCACTCCAGCCTGGGTGACAGAGCGAGACTCCGTCTCAAAAAAAAAAAAAAAAAAAAAAAAACTCAGTTAACAGGGTCTGAATGAACCATAATCATATGCATATTTATGATATTTTTACATTCATTGGTATTACCTTGTTTTTCTGTGTGATTTTTGTGGCATTGTTTTATTCAGTTTTTACCTTCATTTTCATTTTCAGTTTTCTTTCCATTTTATGCCTTATTTTAAAAACAAAATATTGTACAGTGCATTTAAAACATGTTCCTTTTTAAAAATTAATATGTCATTTTGCTTGCTATTTGTAGAGGCTGAACAAATGAATGGAATGTATTAACTTTCATATTTTTATAAAGTTTGTATAATTCAACTGTTGAAAGAGTGGTTAGTATTATCTTAAATGTGACATTTTGCTTGACTTGAAAGTAAGCAAAAATTGGTGTACAAAATCTTATATTTGAGCAATATGGTTTAGTCAAGGTATTTGTATTTAACTCAATCAAACCAACCAAAACATCCTTCTTTCTTCTCTTTGCTATCCTAATCCTTACATGCCAGGCTGAGAACACCAAGGCCTATCTATGGTAATTATTCTTAATCCTATTTGCAGGCCTAAAATTTTGGTTACAGCACACATATGAATTTTAAATAGGAGTGAGTAAACTCCTAGTATCTCTATTATTATTATTATTACTATTACTAGTTATATTAATTATAGTACAATTAATATTACTATTAGTAGTTATACTAATAATGGCTACCTATTATTGAGTGCTTACTATATGCTAGTGACCAAAGCACTTAGATTTAAAATTTCATTGACCCCTATGAGATGGTTCCATTCCTGGGTGAGGAAACCAAGGCTAAGAAAATAGACTGAACAATTCGACAAGGCTGGGAGTTTATATAACTAGTAAATAACAAACCTTGGAATTTAAATCCAAATCTGTCTAATTTCAAAGTTCCTGGTTTGTGTTTAGGTCTTTCTAACTGACAGATTTAGTCTTCAGGTCTATGGAAGAAAAATAACTTTGCCTTGGGAAGTCCTTTTCCCTAGCTCTGATGGACCAACTCTGGAGAGGGGCTTCGCTTAAATTGTAAATAATGTGTCCATGATCACTGTTTTGAGAACAAGGCACCAGTTTTGTGCATCAGACAGATTGCATGTTGCTGCTCCTCACATTTAGACCATTCATTATCTGTTAGCCCTTACATAGGGAAACCATCTGTAATTTTTTTTTTTTTTTTTTTTTTTCCGAGATGGAGTTTTGCTCTTGTTACCTGGGCTGGAGTGCAATGGCGTGATCTTGGCTCACTGCAATCTCCACCTCCCTGGTTCAAGCGATTCTCCTGCCTCAGCCTCCCGAGTAGCTGGGATTACAGGTGCACGCCACCATGCCAGGCTAATTTTTGTATTTTTAGTAGAGATGATGTTTTGCCATGTTCACCAGGCTAGTCTCTAACTCCTTACTTCAGGTGATCTACCCATCTTGGCCTCTCAAAGTGTTGGGATTAGGTGTAAGCCACCGTGCCCGGCCTCATCTGTAATTTTTGCTACTTATTCATTACTTAGTCATGTTTGGGAAAGAAAAGATCAAGGATATTGATTAAAATGAGTTGGAAATGATTGTAGAGTTCATAAAAGCTATATATCTCTATATCGTATCTTTGCAGATAAAATAGAAATGAATCAATCCATTCCTGGGTTTTAGCATATCAATAAGAATAGGAACCCTGCATTAATAATAGGCTCCAAGTCTCAAGGCATCAGGCTACAGAAGCTCTTCCAGGAAAGTAGCGTTTGCTCAAACTGCATTAAGCAGTAGAGGGAAATTTTTTGGCTAATGTAATTGAAAAGTTCAGGGGTAGTTAGCTTCAGGCACAGCTGGATCTAGGGGCTCAAATAATGTCATAAGATATCTGTATTTTTCCTATCTTTCATCTCTGATTTTGTGTCTTGGCTTAGTACTCTAGAAGGTGCTCCTTTTAAGTAATATAATGACCTCCCAGAAGCATCTAGGTTATAATCTATCAGCTTTCAAACCTAGCAGAAACACAGAATCTCTTTTCCAATAGGTCTAGCAAAAATCCTGAGAATGACACTTATTGGATTGGCTTGGGTCACACACCCACATCCTAAATTAACGGCTGAAAGCAGGGAAGCAAACTGACCTGGTGTGAGTTGTATGCTTTTCTCTGGAGCACAGAAGTGGCTCAACCCCTCAAGAACCATAAATGCTGGAAATGTGGAGAAAAAATGATTTTCCAAAAGAAAGGCAGGAAGAGGAATCAAAGGAATAAACCAACCTGCTAAACAACAACAACAACAAAAAAACCCGGGTGTTTAGCATACTTTCTCCACAACTCAATGTCTTTATCTGGAAATAATCCAACTCCACGATGCTGCAGTCCCTGGGTACCCACTGATGTGGGGGACAGGCAGAGAAAGGTGTGGTGTGTGGGCTGTTGCCCAGGCGCTGGTTAGGGCAACCAAGATAGGCTCTTGGCATTCTAGCAGTTAGTTCAGTAGGCCTGGAGGCTACAGTAATTATGAGTGAGTGCAGCTCAATTAGGGGGTGAGGGGTGGGATGGGAGACAGCAGGATCAGGCCTGGGGAAAAACAGATTGGTTTTCAAACATCCATTTGGGGTGGTTATTAAACAAGCCTTTAGAACACTTCTAAGACCAGTATTGTGCTACACCCTGCTGGGCGGCACTCTCAAGATATGACACTAGGAGATAACACCTGCTGTTACTAGTGACTAGAAAACAAGGAAGAAGCAGCAAAGTTCGTCAAACGAAACAGGACAGTCAGGGACAGACCACTCAGTTAATTAGAGGTCTTCTGAAAGGGTATGGACTCATATATTTTGCAGAAATAACCTTTTCATCAGTTGGGTTAAAATATATAACAGCTTTGTGGTTTTTGTTTTACCATTTTTAATTAAAAAATGAAAGATCACAACCTTCCTCAAAACATCTTGTCTTCCCAATGGTAGAAAGTGATCCTCACTCTAGGAGTGTGATCTGATACAGAAAGCCAAGATAACTTTGGTTCAAAGCAGGCTAACCCGGGTACACATTACTAGGTAATAGAATAAATTACAGGTTATTCAGAAAAATAAAACAGAGGGTCTCAGCTAGAAAGAGAAACTTGTAGAGATGCTCAAGGTCTGGAACTAGAGCACTATAGAGCAAATGAAAATTCTTATGGCTTTTCTAAACTCAGAAATTTAATTCAGTTTGATACTCAAGAAAATCTCTTATTGCCTTCAAATGAAAAAAAAAAAAAAAAGAGGGCTGGGCGCAGTGGCTCACGCCTGTAATCCCAGAACTTTGGGAGGCCAAAGCGGGTGGATCACCTGAGGTCAGGAGTTTGAGACTAGCCTGGCCAACATGGTGAAAACCCATCTCTACTAAAAATACAAAAATTAGCTGGTCATGGTGGCAGGCACCTGTAATCCCAGCTACTCAGCAGGCTGAGGTGAGAGAATCGCTTGAACCCAGGAGGCAGAGGTTGCAGTGAGCCGAGATCACGCCATTGCACTCCAGCCTGGGCAACAAGAGCAAAACCTCGTCTCAAAAAGAAAAACAAGGAAAAAAAAAATAAAAGACTCCCGATTTTCTGGTTTCTTGCTCTGTGATTAGCCCCAGAAAGCTGGGCTCCTGGGGCTAACTGATGCCACCTGGAATGGGTGCCCGCGCACTATGGTGGCCTGCCCTCAGTATGGACTAAAGGCAGTGCCTCCTCCATGCTAAAGCAGATGCTGGCCCAAGCAACAGCCCTGTGCCTGTCAAAATATAAGCTAAGTATGGCATATGAGACTAGAGAGGGATCACAGAACCTTAGACATTTCCAAGAAAAATGAATAATATAAGGCTAGGTCTCGGATGGTCTGCATCTTATTAATCCCCCTTTTCCACAATGGTGGGCGGGCTGCCGGGGATGTGGGCTGCAGATGGGAAGCACACTTTCCTGGGGTTTTGTTCCATTCTCCAGGCCCCTCCTAGGCACCAGAAGTATTCATTTCCTGGCATGAGCAGGGCTTGGAACACTGGTGTCCAATTTGTCCTTGGGACAGCTTGGACGGCTGGCTGGGCCCTGGAATATTTGAAAGGGCCAATGGACACCCACTGTTAGGATAAGCTATGCCTGACCCAGCCTCCCAGGCCTATCTCTTCACCTCTGGATAACCAGTGTAGGCCCCAGCTGAGCTCTCCTACCTCAATTCCCCTGCCTCTAACTCACCCCAAACAAGGTGGCTGGATTCTTCATCTTAAATCACCATTTAAAGTGGTGAGCTCTGTCTCAAAAGTCAGGAAGCCTTCCTCTTTGTTTCCAAGAGAGCATTTGAATACTTTCATCTCAGACAGGCCCCACCCTCAAGAGCCTTCAATACTCTCCTCATGCTTCCCTCCAAATCTTTGCCAAACTTTTCCCACAGCCTGGAATACTTCTTTGCCTCAACCACCTGCCCCCACCTGTCATTTACCTGCCCTATCCAGACATCCCCAGCTCTCAAGGAATTTTTCAACAGATTGTTTATATCATCCAGTATTTGCACTACTTCTTGGGTAACTAATTGTGTCCTATTTTGTATTTTTCTTTTTAACATATTTGTATACACTTATGCTGATGAGACCATGAATTTCTTCCTCTTTTGTATCTCCAAGAGGGATGACCACATAGTAAGTATTTAATAATTATTTGTTGAGTAAATGGTTACATAACTAAATGATATTGCATGGCACTCAAAACATCTTTGTTATTTGAGTAAATCACAGGTTAGAAAAATCACAGCCTAGCCTCATCATTGCTATTTCCAAGTCTAAATATGATCTATTTAGTAGGTCAACATGCCCTTCCTACCATTTATTCTCATCTGTGCAAAAAGAGGTACTAGAAATATCTTTCATCAATAGAATTTTCCTAATGTTCCTACTCTGCTTAGAAACCTACAGTGATTTCCTATTAGCACTCATGTGAATTACAAACAGCTCCCCTGACTTCTCTGGTCCTGTGACTTCTTGCTTTCATCAACTCCCAGCAAACTTAACTGTTGGTTTCTACCTAATTGTACTTCCCGGTTTCTACCTCATTTTCAGGAAGGGCACATCAGCCAGTCTTTGCTGCTTCCCTCCCTTAGTCATATGGTTGCTTTACCTGACTCCTGGGCACAGACCTAGGGCCTTCTGAAGTTTTATCTTTAAAAGCCATATAAAAGCTCCTCTTAAGGGGGAGTACCAAAAGGGAGGAATAGAACTCTAATTTACCATTCAGTGTCTGTGACTTGTTGAGATTTAAAAAAATAAACAAAAGCAGGCATATTTAAAGCATTAAAGACACATCAATTACTTCCAGCTTGTGCTATTTCCTTTTGAACTCTCCTCTTATGAATGTTACTGTCCCCCTGCTCCTGAGCTCCTTTGCCCCCTTCTGGGATCTGAGCCCACCCTTCAGGGGAATCTCCTCTGGGGAATGGGAAACCAGGAAAAGTGTGACGGTCCCTGAGCTGAGCTGGTACCCTGATGGCTCAGCACACCTTCCCTGCTACTCCCTTCCCACTGAACAAGCTGGTGTCCATCTGCAGTGAAGGGCCAAGGGTGGACAGGGCATTCTGACTTTCTTGGTGACTGAGAAGCATAAACCCTCTAATTAGCAGTTCCCGATTCACAGTTGAGGAGGCTGAAAATCCAGAAAGAGGACAATGCTGGTGCCAGTAGTTCATATGAATGAGTTGTGGCAGAAACACATCCCCAGCCCTCAATTCCACCCACGGCTATATACTTTGTTTTGAAATCTGCTTTCCTTTGCTTGGAGTCAGCTCGAAGAAGGAGCAAAGCATTTTAGGATTTTGGGGTGGGCAGGGTCAAGACTTCAGGTGCCATTAAGCCAAGGGACTGCTGGGGTCAGGGCTGCATTCTATGAACTTCCCTGGCACTTCGGTCTCATGCCCAAGACAGTGCTCAAATTATAGTGGATGCTTTCAGCTGCATGAAATACAGATATCAAAATAACTTTATTATTAAATGACATCTGAGAAGCCAGTCTTCCTTTGATAGATGAGAAAACTGGAGCCTAACAAGTTTACGTAAAATCTTTCTTGGATTTTCTTATTCGTGTATTTATTCATTCTGTAAATATTTATTTAATGCTGGCAGTGTGCAAGGCAGAGGGTCCAAGGACTCCAGTGCATTTGTAATAGAGCTGGGACCAGAACTCAGGGCTTCTCGCTCCTGCCCTAGTATTGTTTTTACTACAAAATATACTAAGACAGCATGTTTATTCATGACTGGACCTGACCATGTGTTGAGCACCTACTAAATGCCAGTTATCATGTATGGGTGTTTGACATAATTATCTCATTCAATTTTGACAGCATCCTTCTGAAAGATAGGTGGTGTTGTCTTTTGTTTGTGATGAGGAAACTGAGACCCAGAGAGGTTGCAAGGAAACCTGTGTTGGGATTCTGCAGCTAGCAAGTGACAGAGTTCGGATTGAGTTTGAGGTCGTCTAAGTGCCTAATCCAGGCTCTTTCCACTCTGGTGCATTTGCTTCTCAAGTGCTCCCAAGACTCCACCTGCTCCCATCAAAGGGCTGCACTCCTTCAGACCGGGAAGCTTTGTATATGCATCCCCCTACTTGGCATGCCCTCCTTTCTTCCTCTCTACCTTTGCAGTCCCACTTGTCCCTCGGGGCTCACATCTTGAAGAGCTCATACTTCAAGAATGTTTAGAGATGAAGAAATCTGGCCACCAAGGTTTAGCCTAGCCAAGCTTGCTGTTTAGAGAGCCATCATTCCTTCAAATGCCTTTCATTTTGTCAAGTTTTACTGACAAGCTTAGGTCAAACTGGTCAGCAGTACCACTTATATAAATGTTTGTCACTGGTCCTTTTGAAAATGAATGTAGACCTTGAACTGTCGTCTTTTCTTTTTTCTAGAATAAACTGCTTCTTGCCTGGGGGATGGTTATTTCCCATTATGCAGCCAAGTCAGAGAATGCTCTGAATAATCAAATATTCCAATGAATGGAGTTACATTACATGGATCAGCAGCTTTCAAGGAATCAGAATAAAATACACTTAACACAAATACTGTACTAAGCATAATGTAATTTTCTTGCTGGTTTTGCTGCTGATCCTGTGAGCATCAATTATCACTTAACAGGGAATCAAGTAACTCTGCCACTAACCTGCAAAGCGATTTTGGGCACACAATCTTCCATTTTGGAGTACTGTTTCCTCTTCTGTAAAACAAGCAAGTTGGATCAGATTGTGTCTGGTGTATGTGTTGCACATGTGTCATCATTCTCCACTCCTGAGCCCATGTCAGACATCACTAATCAATTGTGGCACTTTTTTTTTTCCTTTGATTTCTGACGGCCTCAGCATGCCTCTAAGCCCAGTGTTCCAGCAGCAAATCCGCTCTCAGTAGACTGGAGTAGACACATGAAATGAAATCTATTTGTTATAATTGAACTAGATGATCTCCAGGGTCTCAGCTTTTATGAGCTGCCTGAGGTGAATGCATGCTGGATGGAAAGTTGGGTGGTAGATAGTTTGTACTATCATTAAGCATTAAGTATTTTACCACTCAGCTGAGGGGTTGGGTTTTTTAATTATTATTTTTGTTTGCCTCCATTTCACTGACACATAGGCTTATGTGGCTACTGAAAACTGTGGCAGGAATTATATCTAAAATTCTGGTGGGTAGATTCAAGTGGATTGTGACAAGGGAAGTCTGGTCAGCTTGGCTCGTCCTAGGATTCAACCCACCTTGGAAGCTGTCCTAATAGAAACAGGCAGAAATAATCCAACCCACATCTGAGTTCCCTCATCCCACAGCACTAGGCTGGGACATGTCATTCTGTGTTATGGCTAGTAGGATGTGATATACAAACCTCCTGGTAGATTATAAACTCCTTGGAGTCTGGGAGGAGGCTCTAGTTATCATTTGAATTCACAGCCTGGTCCCACAACTAATAGGCTGTTTACCCCCTGACAAGTTACTTTCTCTGCCTCAATTTTCAATTTATAAAACTGGGGAAAAATAATAATAATATACCTTAGGGGTTTGTCATGAACCTCAGATGACAACATTGATGTAAATGCTTAAAAGACCTCCCGGAATATTGCTTTTTTTATTATTATAAAATCACAGCCTACACAACGCCTGATGAACAAGTGTTACTAGCATGTGTTGACTGATTTAGTTTTCAAATCACCATGAGAGGTAAGTGTCTAACCTTTGGAAGGACTGATCTAAGAAACAGCAGGGAAACAAATATGACAGGATCTGTCCACAAGACTGTGGGGAATTGAACAGGGCAGAGTTAGTACAAAGGGTTTGGATTCATCTGCTGCTGAGGCAACCAGAAATCAATTCGAGGGAGTCACACAGCAAAGGAGGCAGCTATAGTCAGCTTCCTGGCCTTAGGAGAGATTTTTATTCTTTTAACTAGCATCTTCCACTTTTGGAAGCATAGTCTCAAATCATGAAAATACTCTTGTGAGAGCACATTTTTATTTCATTGTGTCCTCAAACAAACCTGTGAGCTCAAGCTCAAGCTCAAGGCAGTATCACCCCTATATGATTAATGAGGCAAAGCTGAGGCCCAGAAAGGTTATGTAATTTGCCTAAGGATACATGGCTTGTGAGGGCAGAGCCTGGGCTGAGACTTTCAGTCTCACAATCTCCCCCATCCTCCTTCTATCCTGTTCTCTTCAGGAACATATTTCAGTTTTAGGTTTCCCGGCAGTTTTTTCTAAACACTATCAAGTAAAAGCAATTTTATTAGTTCATTGATATAAACAATGAGTTGATAAGGGACTTTTATTTTCCCCAAATCCTCCAACCCTATGTCAAATGTCAGATTTATTTTTTGGCTACGAGAAACCATAATGTAAAAATGAGCAAAAATATTCCCACAAAAGGAGTCTGAGAAGTATACCTGGGCATGACTGTGAAAAAGAGGACAGGAACAGCATATAATGCTTAATGAAACGTATAAAGGACAGTACTGGATTTTATTTGAAACACGATCTTCATGTTGCTGCCAAATAAAACAAGTATGAAATAGGCACAAACCACTGTTGGATGTGTTTCTCAAAAGACTTGGGCATAATGTGAAACCAGGAGTTCACATGTTGCCCTTTAAATAAAATACAGGAAAGTGTACTTTCTATGGAGATATGTCTTTTAGTTTTCTTCTTCACTGTAGAGATAGATTTGTGAGGGACCATTATCACTTTACCCCCCAATTCTCTTGGAGACTAGGGCATACAGTAGGCCCATTTATCACAGTTGCACCTCTACCGTGACCTGAAATGTGTGAACCTAGGTTATCATGTTTGCACACTCGAGAGCCCCAACTCTCCTTATGCTGTGGCTTCAGCTGATTAACATCGTCTGGCCCCAAGGAGAGCCACAGACTGGTAAAGCCAATCAGATCCCTTCTTTTAAGAGTTTTAAATCACAGAGAAGAAGATTCCAGTTGGTATAAATCCTTGAGTGAGGAGAAACTGGAGATTGAGGCTAAATTAGCAATATTGGACCATGCCCAAAATGAGCACTCAGAAAAAAAAAAAAAAAGGTAAGGAGAGAAACAGAGAAAAATGGAGTAGATGCACAAAGGGAGTCAGTCTGTTCAGGCTGCTGTAACAAAATACCTTAAACTGGGTAATTTATAAATAATAGACATGTATTGCTCACAATTTTAGAGGCTGGGAAGTCTAAGATCAAGGTGGCGGTAGGTTCAGTGTCTGGTGAGGGCTCTCTGCTTCACAGATGGTGTTTTCTTGCAGAGTTCTCACATGGCAGAAGGGCAAGACAGCTTCCTTTTCATCTTAACCACCTCCTAAAGCCTCACTTCTTAATACTATCACATTGGTCATTAAGCTTCAAAGTGAAATTTGGAGGACGCATTCAGATCATAGCAAAGGGTAATGAAGGCATGAGAAGATATGAGAAAGACCATGAAGGTTTTGAAAACTAGAAGGAATGGTTTCCAAACCCCGCCATGATATCTGATGGGACTTCTTTGCCACAAGATGCTGCCATGTTTTGGCAGAGAGTGGGCACTCTGTCTGTTGGATAAATTGTTGATGAAATAACCCTCCTTCTTTCTTGGGCTACTTTGAGTAGGTTTTTGTTCCTTATATCCAAAGGAGCTTCGATTGGTATTATATAACTTTCTGTAGCTGAAATAATAGGTTTGTAGCTCAATCCCACTGTCAGGCAAGCATTCTTGATTGGGGTTAATAGGGATCTCTTTATTCCCTCAGGTTACGTGCAATCTTTTCTGTTTATGTCAAGGTCATATGTATATGCATGTAATTCAAATGATAACACAAATCATTTACTGAGCACTTATTTTATGACAGTAAGTAGTGTATTATATGCATTGTCTCATTTAATCCCCAACCACTCCTATGAGATTGGACATTTTATTCTCACCATTTATAGATTAAGAAGCCAAGTCTTGGTGAGGACAAAGAAGATATTCAAGATCACCTGATAGGTATCTTACTGGAAAATCCAATGATTAAATTGCTATTGATTTGCTTCAGGCTACAATAGGAAGTATGTGGTGTATCAATGAAATGATATCTGTGTGGATATTTGGATTTAATTTTCATTTCTCTCACAGTTGGAAAAAACAATTTTCAGTTTCTACACCCACTAAATAAGGTGTACTGATATATGCCTCCTACTATCTCAGTGATGAGACCTCTTCACGAGTGTACACATACAGCTGCCAAAAGACAAAAAATTATTCAGCTTAGTGTTTTACGCTTTAGATTCTAAGGGGTCAGTAATGACATACCTTCTGAACTTTGTAAGAAAAAAAATCCAGATTTGTTACTGCCTGTTGAGCTAGCAAATGGAAGAAATTAAAGTTTCAATAACACCCTTTCCTTTTCTCAATTCCCTTCTCATTAAATAGTATAACTGTGGTTTAAAACAACTGGGAGCTGGGTGCGGTAGCTTACACCTATAATCCTAGCATTTGGGAGGCCAAGATGGGAGGCTTGCTTAAGTCCAGGAGTTTGAGACCAGCCTGGGCAACATAGCGAGACCTCATATCTACAGAAAATTTAAAAATTAGTCAGATGTGGTGGCAGGCATCTGTACTCCCAGCTACTGGGGAGGCTGAAGCAGAGGGATTATTTGGACCCAGGAGTTCAAGGGTGCAGTGAGCTATGATCAAACAACTGCACTCCAGCCTGGGCAACAGAGAAAGATCCTGACTCTACACAAAATAATAATAATAAAATAAAACAAGTAGGGACCAATATAGGGTTGCTAATGTATTATTTTACTAAGTAACTAGTTATTTAATTAAAAGTAATAAAATTTAGTTACTAAACACACAAATAGGCATAATTTAGACTAAAGGATGGCTCTTTAAATGAAATGCGCTTAGCTATATAAAATATTTACATCAGTGTCCTATTTTTTTTTTCATCTCACTAAGAACTAGGAAAACTTTGCTGTGAAATGAATTTTGTGAACTATTACTACTGGAGTGTTTTGTATTAGCTTGCAATGAAAGAGACAGAAAATTTGCTTAATATTTTAAAAATGTTATTGTGTTGGATCAATTTTTTGTGTGTACAGTTTTCCCAACTTTTGAACTGTTGAAGTTCTCCTCTGAGGCATTGCTTAAAGGCAAAGAAACTGAGAACACACAGTCATTGCCAGATATTACAATCCAAGACATATTTATTCAGCCCAATGTCAAAGACATCAAAATGGACATTTTTAGCCCTTTATCTATGCACGGTTTGTGCAACCCTTGGTTATCTAGCTTAAAAATGTTAATTTCAGTCTTCAATAAACAACTAGACTCAGAGATATTAATCCCTGCAATTAACGTCTATCCCAACTAGCCATATGCCTCTGGATATAGTTGGAGAAGAATTTCAGCTATCTAAGACTTATGAGGTCCCAGCTCCAGCTGGGACTCAAAATCATGTTTCCAGAACACAAAGAACACTTGATAAAGTTGGAGAGAGATATTTTTTGAAAATATGTCACTAGGCAGCTTGGGAGCAATTTAGCAGCACCATCCTACAGGGTATGAATTTAACCTTTGCTCTCTGAAATGAAGGTCAGCAAATTTGTTTTTACTCTACATATCTTATAATCAATTCAATGTCTGGGTAAATCAGTTTCTAAAGAAGAGGCTGTGTTTGCAGATAAGTGATACTTTCACCCTCTAATTTTTTAACCATTTAACCCTCTCTTCTCTGAATTAAAATTCTTCTCCCTTCACTTTTTTTTTTTTTTTTTTTTTTTTTTTTGGCAGTGGAGGAGGAATCTAAAAACTTAAGATGCAAAATATTAAAAGGGGAAAAATACCATACTGTTGTCTGCAGAGGGTAAAAAGAGTCCAGCAAAATGTCTTTTTTTTCCTTCTAAGAGATGAACATGTGAAAAGATACTTTAAAAATCTGTCTGTTCACCTGAAGCTTTCTTGCGAATCCATACTTTAAACCAGGGTTGACAAAGAATAGCCCATGGGCAAAATCCAACCCACTGCCTGGTTTTGTAAATAAAGTTTTAGTAGAACACAATCATGCCCATTCATTTAGTTATTATCTATGGTTTTTGGACTACAACAGCAGAGTTGAGTAGTTGCAAGAGAGGTCATATGGCCCAAAAAAGACTGAAATGTTTACTATCTGGCCCTTTATAGAACATGTTTGCTGATTCATGCTTTAAATCAAAGAAAGAGTCTTGGAGAAATGACATGGTGAAAATACATCCTTAGCCTAGATACAGCAATGGCTTAGGGGTAAAGGAGAGTAGATACTGGTTTTAATCCAAGCATTCACTTTGTAGAAACATAGAACAATATCAAGCTGATGAAATGAACAATAGTTGGGAATGCACTATAATGAGGTAAAGACATAATAACTAAATTTACTCCTCTGATTCTCCAGCAGCTTATCTAATAACAATATGCTATGGTAGCGATGAACCCAGCATCCTCAGCTAATGTCAGCCATTTGGGAATAAGAGTTTCTTCCCTGCAGCAGATGTGTGGCTCAAAGTTCACCACGAGTGCACTCACAGAGAGAGCACAGCATGTGTTGTTCTGTGAGGGACCAGTGCTGGCCTGTCAATGGAATAGCTAATTTAGTTAAAGGACTGGGGAAATAGTGGGGGTGGCAGGCTAGAACTTGGGAAAAGAAGAGTTTTAACCCTTTCTGGGTATGACTTTACTTTTCAAATAATGATAATTCTGCTGCCTATAGAATTTGAACCAAGAGAATGAAATGCAGTTTATATCATTCCTTGCCAGTCATCCTACATGGACAGCTGCCAGGAGGCTGATATGCAGAGGCGATCATTGCATGCATGGTTATTTCTGTCGTAGACGCTCGTCATCCCTTGAAATTGCTCTGCTCCTAAGATTCCAAATTCCAGCCTCTGCTTGCTTGTCTCAGAAGTCTAGTACGTGGACTAAGGAGGGTGGGCTTCCTCAACTTCCCTCTCCAACTAAAACTGCCGGGTATTCATCCTGGGCCTAGATTTTTACATCTCTCTTGGAAGAAGGGCGGAGACTCACCTCGTGGCTTGTGTGTTGCCATACTTTCTGATTTCTTTAGACCATTGCTTTGTCATCTTCAGGTTATTCCTCTCTTTCCATTTTCCTAGCAAACATGGTTTGGTCTTACTTACCATAAATATGTAAAAAATCAAAAACAAAAACAAAACTCTTTTCCTCAACTTTGCTGTTCTCTTTTGCTGCTTTCCTAGTGGCTTAAATAAGTTTATTTCTTGTACATGCAATGGCCACAGAAGATTGGGTGGCTTTTCTCAAGAGGACTTATGCTGTATTCAGTGATTCAGCAATCACGGGTTTTTCATCTTTCAGTTTTGTTGTTTCTGCACAGGGCCTCCCCCATGACCACTGCAGCAGGGATGAATCTGGCACAGGCTTTTCCCTGCCTCAGTCCAGAAAGAACCCACTTCACATTTCTCTGAAGAACTACCACATACTCTTCCACAGTGCAAGGACGCTGGGAAGTACCATTTTCCGTGTGCCTGGAACGGGAGTAGAACCAGATATTGGTGAATACAGTAATGCATTCCACAACAACTTCCATAAGGAAGTGCCACTACTTCTTCGGTGTCCACCACTGTCTTCCAACCCACATCTTCTCAAATCTGGTTTTTGCCACAATCACTCCACGAAACTACCTTTGTTTTTGCCTTATCTTTTCCTTACAGTGATCACCTTGTCTATCTAACCACATTATCTTTGCTACTTCTGCCTTGGTTTCTTGGCGGAATTTGATCCAAACTTTATCTCGTTTCTTCCTGAATTCACTTTTTGGTTTGCATAACAGCACATGTAGCATCTCAAGCTTTCCCTCATCCTTTTATACAGACCTTCTCTCAGTTTCTTTCACTGATTTCTCTTCCTCTTCCTCCTACTCAATGTAGGGAGTCCATGTAGCTCAGACTTTTCTTTGCATTCTCTATGTCCTCACCCTTGGGCTTCAGCCTTCAGCTCTGAGCATGTAACTCCTCAGTCAATCAATCAATCCATCAATCCACCCATCCATCCCCTTCTTCAGATCTAGAATTACACCTCTAAATTTCACTTACATTACACTTCCACTTTTAAATGGACATAAATTCATAAATTCATAAGGTCTAAAAATAAAAGATCTTCTTCCAACCTAACAATTTCTATTAATAGAACTGTATCTGTTAGAATACCTGGGATACATGACAGAATACCCCAATTCAAGTGCCTAAAATAAAGAAATGTATTATCTCAACTAGTGAGAAGTTGAGGTGCTTCTCTCAGCTCTGCCTCGATGTGTGTATCAGTTCTGGCTTCTGTTGGCTCCTCTCACAGTAGTTAGACCCCTCTAATAGCTCTAGTGGTCATATTTAGAGGCTATATTCAGCCTCCAGAGGAAAAGTAGCCAACTTTCTTGTTTCTGTTTAAGAGTGGCAGAAGCTTTCTTGGAAGTCTCCTTAGCAGTCTTCCCTTTGCTCCTTAAAAAAAATTACTAACAGCTTCATTGAGATACAGTTTACATATTATGTAAGTCACCTATTTAAAGTCTATAATTCAATGGCCTTTTAGTACATCCACAGAATTGTGTGGCCATAACCACAATAAATTTTATAACATTTTCATTGCCCCAAAAGAAACCCTTTGTCCATTAACAATCACTCCTTGCTCCCCTCTCTCCCCAGTCTCTGGCAACCATTAATACACTTTCTGTCCACATGGATTTATCTATTCTGAACAGTTTGTTTAAACAGACTCATATAATATGTGGCCTTTTGTGTCTCGCTTCTTTCATTTAGCATACTCTTTTGAGCTTATCATTGTTGTACTGTGAATCAGTACCTTATTCTTTTTTATTGCTGAATAATATTCCATTGTGTGGATATGCCACATTCTGCTTATCCATTTCTTGGTGGATGGGCATTGGGGTGGTTTCCATTCCTTTGCTTCTTTTGCTAAGAATTTCTGCAGCTGCTTATGCCTAATACAATCCCTGGAAAGCATGGACAAATGGAGCCACCTGGATGATGTGGACAAATGGAGCCACCTGCATGACTTGGAGAAATGGAGTTGTCTGGGACAAATCAAGACTCATTCCTCAGGTTGAAGATGAGTCAATCTTCTCTGAAGCAGTGGCCACTTAGAAGAGGCTGAATATTTGAACAAAACTGGATTTCTGTTAGAAATGAGGAAGGGAGGGCTGGTAGGGAATGTGGGATAGACAAAAACAAGCAAACAAACAAACAAAAACAAAAAACAAAGTAACAGACCTGCTGCAGGTAACAACCAATTTTTTTTGTAGTTCTGAAACTTTGTCTTTTTCTTTCTCCTGACCCGTGATATCCAACTGGTGGCCGAGCTTGTCTATTTGATCTCCATGGTTTCTTCTCTCTCGTTGCCCTCATCCACCTGAGTCGCCCCCTCTGCTTCATGCTGACATTACTTCTCAGCCATTCTTCCCTAACGGCCTCCTGCTGAGACCCGTCTTTCTGTCGTGCCTTCTTCCCCCTCCAATGCATCTCACACATCTTGGTGAGTGCAATCTTTCCACAGCGTACATCTACTGGTAATAATGTTACAGCCCCTGCTCAACTCTACTGCCTATAAAACTAAGTCCAAATTCATTACTCACACAAATAAGGTCAGTCTCAGCATCTCTTTATTTATCTGTCTTAGCCACAAATCTCTTCCTTTACTTATATAGCTCCAACCTATTATTTGAGACATCTTAGATAATAATAGCCAACATTTATTGAGATGTTGTGTGTCAGTGCTGTTCTAATACTCATGGGATTATCCCATTGGTTCCTCCCAAGAAGTCTATGGGATTGATACAATTATTAGTACCAATTAATAATTCATACAATTGTTAGTTAAATATGAGGAAATCAAGGCTAAATATGTTGTCTATGATGATATAGCCAGTAGGTAGTCAGGCCAGGATTTACTTCCAGGCAGTTTGATTCTTATGTGGAAACATCTCCTTCCTGAATCCTTTCCTGATTCCATATCCCTTTCCTTCATTACCTCCTCTAACCTCTCAACCCACCCTCAATTACTGCAATTTCTCCCTCCTTTTTAATCATATAGCATTTTCTTTATAGGGCTGAGCTTCATCCCCTTCAAATTCATATGTTAAAGTCCTGGCCCTCAGTACCTCAGAATGTGACTGTATTTGGAGACAAGGCTTTAAAGAGGCAATTAAGGTTAAATGAGGTCATTAGGTTAAGCCTCTAATTCAATATAACTGGTCTCCTTATAAAAAGAGGAGATTAGGATACAGATGTGCACGCACAGAGGAAAAACCCACGTGAGGACTCACTGAGAAGGTGGCCGTCTGCAAGCCCAGGAGAGAGGCCTCAGAAGAAACACCCTGCTGACATCTTCATCTTGGAATTCTAGCATCCAGAACAGTGAGCAAATACATTTCTGTTGTTTATGCCACCAGTGTGTGTGTGGTATTTGGTTATGGCAGTCCTTGGAAACGTATACACTTTCTGGACCTCAGTCACCTCATCTGTAAAATGGGTTGCTGGAGGATTTAGTGGAATAAATTTCTCAGCACAGTGCCAGGCACTTTCTTGTACAGCAACCAGCCAACAGCCATTTCTCCCTTCCTGTCATCCTAAGGTGACCTTTGGGGACAGAAGTGTCAGGGCTGGTAGGGGCGTAAGGCTGAAACCCCTGACCACTGGCAAATAAGCAAGTTAAGATGAGCCCAAAGAGTACCAGTAGCTACAAATAGAGACAGATTCCAAGATCAAGCACTAGGCAGACAGAAGTGAACTAGGAGACAGGGAGACATGTTGTATCTGTATCCACAAGTAACAGAAAGCCTGTCTCAAACAGAATTAAACAACAAAAAAAATTGGATGTATTTGGGCCTGCCAGTGAATAGTTCAGGGATGGGTACAGAAACTCAAAAGATGTCACAGGATTTCTGTGTGTGTGTGTGTGTGTGTGTGTGTGTCTGTCTCAGATGGCTGAGTTCCTTCTATTCCAGTTCTTCAAAAGATTCCATGTTTGTGGTTGTGAGATGTCTGTGGTGGTTCTAAGACTTCACTTGCTTGCAGTTTCAAAGTTTAGGAGGGGAAAGTTCATCCTTCTTTTAATCATCCAGGCAAGGCCTGGGACTAGATTTCCTTGCTTTTGTTTAGCTCCTCTTGAGTCGGGTGCCCAATGCTACACTCACCTCTTGGCAGGGGCAGGGGATCTGATGAGCTGGTGGCTTAGGCCTGTGTCACATGGGCCACGACTGCATCTGAACCACCCTCCAAAGAAGGTCTGAGGGAAGGGGACCAGAACAATGACCAGAAGAATGGTGATGAGATCCAGACACATGGCCACTACACCCACACCCACATAGAAAAAGAGGTGATTTTCAACAATAAAGCCAAGGAGTTCTCTTTTTCTCTCTCCATCTCTCTCTCCTTCTCCCTTTTCTACATCTTTTTCTTTTTTTAGAGACAGGATATCGCTATGCTTCCCAGGCTGAACTCCAACTCTTGGGCTCAAGGGATCCTCCCACTTTAGCCTCCCAAGTAGCTAGGACTACAGGCATGGCACCGTGCCCAGCTTCTTACTTCCACTTCTTAAAGTAGACTTCTGACTCCTAACACATTTTTGTTGTGACCTAGTTTAAGTTCATTTTGTCATCCGATCATTGGCTTTAAGGTGGCCAGTCTGCCAGCCTGCTGCAAGACTGAATGGGGCAGGGCCCCTAGTGACAGCAGTGGAGCCATCTTTCAACCAAGCCATCCTTTCCTGTCTACAAGTGCTTGACAGCCTTCTAGAGTCTCTTGCCTGCATTTCTAAGTCTCAGGCTCAAGTAGACTCAATTCCAGGTGGCACTTGTAATGTGTGACATACCAAAGACAATAGTAGTAATAATGGTTACTATTAAAGGAGTACCTACTATGGGTCAGGCACTGTGACAAGTATGTACATGTTCCAATCCTGTGTTACTCTCAACTCACCCGTGAGCATCCTCATTTTACTGATGCAGAAACGGAGGCCCAGAGAGGTTAAGCAACCTGCCTGATGTTTCGCAGGAGGAAGTGGAAGAACTGGAGTTCCAAATCAGGTCTGCCTGCGTCTAAACCCCTTACTCTTTATCACTCAGCCCCACCACACCGCCTCCACAGTTGGCAGGCCGGACTGGACTGCAGTCTGCAAGCAATTAGCGAAAGCAGCTCTCCAGCAAATCCAAGAAACAATCCAATCTGTAAAAGGGGAGGGGGAAGCCATCTTAAAAGAGAAAGCTTTTTTCCTCCCCAGCTGGTTAAGGGGGAGCAGTTTGCCACAGGCTGCTGAGGGCAAGGAAGGGGCAGAATGTTCACTGAATGTTCATTCTCCCAATTGTTTTTCTATGACATTGAGCTCACACTCCAGGGAAAATGCAGGGCCTGAGTTGAAATGTCGTCCAAAGCCATTCAGCTAGGGCTTTAAAAGGAGCTTTTGTTGGTGGAAATCTCTTTACTGACCTGACTTTCCCTGGGCTTGGGTTTGCCTGACAAAATAAAAGATGACCAGTTAAATTTGAATTTCAGATAAACAACGCGTAATCATCTGGGATAAGTACGTCCCATGCAATATATGGGATATACCTATCCTAGAAGATTATGCGTTATTTATCTGAAATTCAAATTCAAATGGGTGTCCTGTATTTTTACTTGCTAAATCTAGAAACTTTGTCAGTTTTGGACTTCAAGAGTAAGCCTGTTCCCTCTGTCTTGCTGCCCAACCAGAATCCAACAGGTTATTTTATTCCTGTGAAGGAAGCAGAATTTAAGGATGCATTCTGGAAGATGCATGCTTATGCATGCTCTATCTTTCCATCTTGCTTTTTAAAGAAAATGTTACAAAAATGATGTGGGCTTTGTAAATAATAACAAAGATAATAATAATCCTTTCAGGATCTGGGAAATGTCTTGAGGGTTTGGGGGAATCAACTTTCCACTGAAGTTCCTGGAAACCGGTCAGTACAATTTGTATTTAATAAAGAGCAGCCAACAGTGCTGCCACAGCATCTTGTGAGCGCATCCCACAGAGGAAGTGGGCGATGGCCCTGACCCCCCTGCAGCAGAGGCCCCTCCCTAAGGATTAGCCGTGAATTCCAAGCTCTGCAGGACCAAGTGACAATGGGAGATTGGGAGCAGGGAGGGAGAAGGAAGGGACCAGACGGAAAAGAGGAAGAGAGAGAGAGGAGGCTTTAGTGCAAATTCAACATCATTTCCCTCATCGCAATGCTCCCTGCTTCCCTCTCATTTATAAGTCTGGAGCACATTCTTGGCATTGAGACTCTCATGCTTGGACCCTTCTCTTCTCTTGGTTCCTGGCACGGTGAATTTGGCCATTTGCTGCAGTGATGGGCCATTCCAGGGAGTGCCCCATCTAACCAGCAGCAGGCCAGCTGTCCAAGGAGCCTTTTCAAAAGGGAAGACACCCTGGGAGGGCAAGTATTTGCCAAGTAACTAAGTGTCCCCTTGTTTCCAGGTGCTTAGTGTATGTTTGTGGGTGCGCACAGCAGTGAATACAAGGACCTATTGTGTCCTGTACTCTAAAGCTGGCTGAGGGCCTGGTAGCCAGGGTGGGTCACGATTCACTGCAACTCAACACATTTTTATTGAGCTCCTAGGTTCAACACCCTGTGCTCAGCCTGTAGGAAATGTAAAGATAAGGTCCGTCCTGAGTTTCAAGAGTCTTAAATTCTAATAGGGGATAAGGCAAAGAGACAGTAACAAAGCAGGCAGAACAAAGTCGGTATTGTCAGAGGGGTAAAAGTCAAAGCTTTTAAGATGCTCAAGACAGCAAGAAAATATATCTGCTTTTAGAAGAGACCAGGAAGGACTTCATGGAGGAGGTGGTGTTCAAGATGAGTCTTGCAGATAAGTGAGATTTCATTAGGGTGGGTATGGAGGGGTGGATATATTTGGCAATTGGTGTTTTATTGTGTTTCATGTAGAAATCCCTAACATGGGCCGGGCGCGGTGGCTCAAGCCTGTAATCCCAGCACTTTGGGAGGCCGAGGCGGGTGGATCACAAGGTCAGGAGATCGAGACCATCCTGGCTAACACGGTGAAACCCCGTCTCTACTAAAAATACAAAAAAATTAGCCGGGCGTCGGGGTGGTGGCGGGTGCCTGTAGTCCCAGCTACTAGGGAGGCTGAGGCAAGAGAATGGCGTGAACGCGGGAGGTGGAGCTTGCAGTGAGCCGAGATTGCGCCACTGCACTCCAGCCTGGGTGATAGAGCGAGACTCTATCTCAAAAAAAAAAAAAAAAAAAAAAAAGAAAGAAATCCCTAACATGGATCCAAAATGAATTCTGCTAGTGATAAATATGGTCATATGCTAGTATCCAAAGCAAACAAGCACGACTGATTTTATTACAAAGTTTTTCCTTGAGGAGTATCTAGGTGATATCAACGACTCACATGGACAGCTGAAACAAAACACCAAGCTCATGTGCCAGACATTGTGTTGTGTGATTTACATGTAATATATTACTCAATATGAATGAATGGCATTTTTCTGGATAATATTATCATATCAACTTCAAGATTAAGAATGTGGTCAAGTCAATTTATACAACCCCACTTCATCCACCCCTCCACCTAGATTCAAAAATTCTTCCATTGGTATTACAAAGTCTACTTTTTGTTCCCCTTCAGATTGTTTTCATTGATATGCCATTTTTGTCATTGTATGTATTCAGTAAAAATGACTAATATGGACAAATATATAGACAATTACTTTTTTCTCTTTATTTTTCATATATATATATAGACAGAGAGAGATAGAGAGGTTTTTTGTTGTTATTGCTGTTGTTTTGTTTTTTTGTTTTTTTTTGAGACAGGGTCTTGTTCTGTTGCCTAGGCTGGAGTGCAGTGGTGCTATCGCTGCTTACTCTAGCCTCAAGCTCCTAGGCTGAAGTGATCCTCCCACCTCAGCCTCCCTTAATTAACATTTACTTAAATAAGAAATTATGTGAAAATTTTGCTTGACTCTGATCAATATCCATTTATTTCTTTGTGATCTTTAAGTGTAGTATTTATGGAATGATTGCTACTGAACCCCTGCACTATGTTAAATACTGCTTAAGATATGGCAAGGTTTCTAAAATATTCTGAAGAAACCATGGTATAACATTGAAAATAGTTGGATTTTGCTTAATTGTGTCAAAGTTCTGGAGAAGAAAAAGCCCTGGCTTCTTTAAGAAAGAGGTGGAGGCTTTGGCAGCCTGTAAAAACTGTTGGCACACTTCTTGTCATAGAAACCACTTTCCAAGTCAAGGAAGTCTTGATAAAGGAGGAGGAGGTAGAGTTCTGAGCTGGCTCTATGGGGCCTAAGAAACCATTTCCTGATTTAGAAAAAAGGTCACAGGGAAACACTATTTTATAAGCCTTGATGGTTTAGCTTTCTTTTTAGCTAATCCTCTAGGGATGAAAAGAGGTTCTTCAACCTACAAGAAAAGAAAGGCTACCCTTGATAGTAGCCCTCCAGATATAATGAGGAGGGTGGTACCAAGGTAAATGGTTGCTCAACACAAGTGCTAGTCAGAGAGGTGGCAGTGCAAGTCAGGGCTCTACCAAGATCTCAGACAATTCATTTAGTCTATTCACACTTCAGTTTCTTCATACATTAAATGTGCATCATGCCGTTATTTCATAGAGCTGTTATAATCATTCATTTATTGAACAAATAGGTATTGAACGCTTACCATGTGCCAGGCCTGTGCAGATAAAGCAGACAGCCCCTGCTTTGATGGAATGATGAAATGAGATGATGCCTGCAGAGTCTACTGCAAGGAGTCAATAAATGCTGTGATGGAAGCTATTCTCCCAGTAGTGATAAGTACAAGCATCGAGAAAGGGCTATCTTCCAGGCTTTTTTTGTTGTTCATTGGAAGCACTGCTAAGTACAGGGCTACTTCGAAGTTCTAAAATTCAGGTAGACTACTGGAGTGTGTTTTTCTTACACTCCAGTGTAAGAAAACCCTGCTAAGATCAAGTTGGATAAAGTTGCCATTTATGATAAAGTCAGATCAAGTTGGATAAAGTTGCCATTTATGATAACAAAGTCTTATGAAGGAAACGTCTTCAAATTATATTTCTAGGGTTGGTTTTTTTTTCTTTTAAATTTCCTATACTGGCATATTTGTTACGTGAACATGTCAGTAGTTAACAAGTGGTCAAATTTTATATGTAGACACTTTGAGTCCCTCCCTCCCTCCCTCCCTCCCTTCCTTCCTTCCCTCCCTTTCTTCTTCTTTTTCTTTCATCCTTTTCCTTCCTCCCTCCCTCCCTTCCCTCTTCCCCTTCCTTCCTTCAATACAAAAGCATCATAAGTTAGATCTTGTCTGAAAAGCCTGATTCATTCATCTACAAAGGAATTGCCATAATCAAGGTGCCTCTGTCTACTACAGAAATGGATGTCATGAGCCTATTAGACATTAACAAATGTCTCTGGCAAGCAACAGAAAATGCTATAGCAGTGTTGTAATATTTGCGGTGATAATATTTATATACTTCCAATCTTATTTTATTTTATAAAATATATTATTCCCTCTTAAATACTGATGTCCAAAGCTAACTTGAGACCACAGAAAAGACTTTCTAAGACATTTCTTCTAAGCATGGGCTTATAAGAAAGTAGCAGAGAATGATGCTTTTTGTGTACTGCAAGCTTGGCTGCTATATGGCACAAATAAGGCTGTATTTCTATTACCTATCAATGAACAAATCTATCAACCAATGAACAATTATTTAGTATCTGCTTTGTGCAAGAACCATGTTGGATCCCAAGGGAGTTACCAAAAAAAGTAATTAAATAATAAAACAGAATTCTGCCCTCTGAGGACCATGTAGTTGAAGCGGTAACAAAAGGTTAATTAACAATTAAAAGTCAAGTGACAGTTGTTCCCCCCAAAATCATAAAGGGGAGAGTTTTGGGAAGGTTTTGTAAGGAAAGTACTCTTTCAAAGACAGGCAGGGTTTATTTTAGGTAACTCATTTTCTAAAACATGTCTAAAGGCAAACTAGGGAAAAATGTCTTCCTAGGAACTTGAGCTGCCATGTGGTACAAACCAGACTGTATTTCTCATATTTATCAGCCAACAGATTCAACAGTCAACAAGCATTCCTTGAATATCTGCTTTGTACAAGAACCAATGCTGGATTTTTAAAATTTGTTTTTTTAATTTTGGAACTTAATGAATTTTAGAACATATGTGTTGAATATTTGAGGACAGATTTGCAACCTCTGTAATGTTCTAGGAGAAGTTGAGCCCAATTTCCTTGAGCCAGCAGCCTCCCCAGCTTCCCAGAGCCTCGGAGGCTATGCTTTTGGCATTCCCCATAGCATAGATGAAACAAACACACCATTTGAAAGCCCAAAGTGTAAGAATGATTACATTCTGCTGAGCCCTTCTCTGATCACAGGAATTTTGCATCTGAGTAAACAGGGAGTTGAGGCTGGAGGCTGATGGATGTGAGGGGCTACTTCCTTAAACTTTAAAGCAAGCACGGTTCCTTTTATCAGACAGTGGAATTACTTTGGTTTAGAAGGAACTCATGCACAATAACCTGGTAACTCTCAAAGTGAAAATAGGGACTTGCTCCTTGTTCATTTCCAGGCTCATGGGAGCTGAACCATGAATTAAGAGTTTGGCTCATTAGGAAGGACAGACGATTGGGCACGCTGTGGAGCCAACATGTTTTATGAGGCTGGGAGTAGGTTACACAAAGTGGCACAGACTAAGAAAGGAAGATATTTGGAAATATTTTTTCTGCTTAAAGCTCTGAGATTGCAGAGGGTTTTCTTAGCTCTGTGGAATTTCTTTAACTGCCTTGGGATTTCTAGGTTTCTAAGAAGCTTGAGGTGGCTGTTAACCTAATACACAGTTGAAGGAAGCCAAGACAGCCTCCCTATGCCAGCCATGTGGTAGGATGTCTTCTTAAAAGACTCTTTGAAATCAAACATGTAAGGAAATCCTTCTTTTCTGAACTAGAGCCTCTGAAACTGGGTCAATAGCTCTCATCCTTGTCTCCTGCTTGCTTTGCTGAAGCACAGTGTAAGCAAATAAATATCAACGAATTGCTTAATGATTTTCATAAGGCTCCATCCTTTCAAGGCAAGGGGCTCTCCTGAAATGTTTGATCTGCTCTGTATGAATCTGTTTTCCAAATGGCCAGCACATGTCGAGGCCTGCTGTCCTCTGGGTTACAGGAAGATGCCTTTGATGGGTTAACCGCAGAGTAACTGAACTCTTTTCAAGTCCCTTTCCAAAGTTCCTTTGTCCTGCTGTGGATCTTGCCACTTGGATTGGATCAGCAGGAGACTGCTCCTGGCAGCAGGTTCTAGAACATTCTCCCTCTGATTTGAGCTTGGTCACTGGTTAATGCCATCTGAAATATGGCATTCCAAAGGTTGAAAGGCAAGCACCAGGCAGTGATGAAATAGTTACCCAAACTCTAGATGAGCCACTCAGACTTTTCCAGCATTCTGCACCCAATTTGTGCCTGAATGAATTTCCTTAAAGCCAGATGAAGTTATCATCATTTTCAACTGTCTTGTTATTAGCAAAACATCTCAGCAGCTGCCCGATGCTGCTTTCAGTTGGATATTACCACTTTGGTAGTGGCCTTCCACATTCTGTAGTGTCCTTTCTTTCCCAGGCTGGGTGGAAATGTTTAACCAATAACTTTCTCAATATCTTGCACATACATAATAAAATGGTAATTTGGTTTGGTTTATTTCTACAGATTTTGATACACATTCAAGTTACAGCATAATGGCTGGGACTTACATGGTTATCATCAAGTTGAGGGCAAACTGGAGAAAGTTTTCCCTTCTCCAACAAGAGGAAGAAGAAAAGGGCAATTCTGGTAGCTGCTAGCTGGTGGGTCCAGTGCCTTGGGCACAGAGGAATTATTGAGGACCAAAATATTATATTTTGTTATTTTCTACAAAATTTAACCTTTTGTGAAGAAATCTTAATGATAACCCAAAAATGTAATAACTATTTATAAAAACATAATGAAAGATATAATAGAGCAAGATGTAAGGAAATGGAGACATCTTTCCTTCTTCGCTCTGTTTTCAAAGTTAAAATACTTTTATCAATAACATTGCCATTATTAGGCAATACTTAACTCTACATTTTCTATATACTTACAAGGTAACCATGTTTTTTCTTACCTTCTGTGATTCTGGCTATCCAAAACCCTCATCTCCTTATCTATCCGTATACTGAGTAAACTGCTGGCAGCTTTGGGCTAGTGCAACAAATCTATATCAAGTAGTGACTCTGCCTGGCGCAGTACTAGCTTGGGCTTTAAAAGCCCATAATACTTTTTTTATTTTTCCTCTTGATATTAATTGAAATCAGGTGATGGCAAAAAGTCCTTTTTTTAAAAAAAAAAAAATTTAGGCTACTGGCACTAAATTCTCTTAAATAGTCATTTCCTTCTCATACAAGAAATACTTGCTAATTTCAGACCAATCTTCAAACTGTATTTTCTATTTTGGTTAATTGAATTACCATCCACCCAGCCACCTCGTCTAGAAAGCTGAGAGTCATAATAGACTCTTTTCTCTTCATTACAACCTTCCTCCCACATCCAATCAATCACCAGCTTCTATCAATCTTCCCTCTTAATTATTACTGAAATCCGCCCTCTCCTCTGTCTCTGGCATCAGAGCTTTTCTCCAGCCTTTGACATCTTGAATCTCCTATCTAGATTTGCCACCATGACCTCCTCCTAATCATTCCCTTAGCCTCTACTCTCTTTCCTCTTCTAATTTATTCTTCTCCATTTTCATACAAAGCTTATCTTTATCCAAATTAAAATTTAATAACTAATATATCATGGAGCTATGATTTAAACCAGTTGGCAAAGATTTTTTTTTTCAAAAAATCATGACTAGGTGTAAAATTTTACTGAATGTTTTTCATTATTTATCATCATATGTCTATAATAAATTATATAATTGATTTTCTTATGTTAAATTCTTACATGAAATGTAAGAATTATTTTCTATGATATTTATATATATATTCCATCTGGATTGCTTGCTAGCATTTATTTAGTACTTTGGCATGTCTGTTTGTATGTGAGGTTGATTCTCATTTTGTACTTTTCCGGGTTTGACATCAGGGTTATAATAGCTTTATAAAATATTTGTAAAATATTTTTCTTCTGGAATGGTTATTTGTTAGGGGTTATTATTTCTCCCTTTAATTTTTCAAAAAAAAAAAAAGTCCGCAAAGTTTTCTGGAGCTAGTCTTCTTTTGTGGAATATTTTTGACTATTGAATTAATTTTTTCCTCGCTGGTTATAGGTTTATTTAATGTCAATTTCTTCTCAACTTAATTTCCATAATTTATGCTTTCTAAAAATTGTACAATGTATCTAAAGTTTTAAATATATTGGCCTAAAGTTGTTCATGTGATTCTCTTATGATTTTTAAATATTTACTTTTTGTTTCAATGTCCCTTTTCATGTCTAGTACTGTTTATTTCTGCCTCTTAAAAAAATCAGTCATGCCAGGAGTTCATCTACTTACTTTTTTTGAAACAACCAGCTTTTCATTTTGTTGATCAGATGATCAGCCATTCATTCTTGACACCACCACAAGAGTAATTTTTTGGAAACTCAAATCCAGTTTTAAAAACCTATCAGTGGCTCTCCACACCATATTCAAGCTCCCACCTCCTAACAGATTCACTAGTTCATTTCTCCACACTTAGTCCTTCCTGTTCTCCCCTCCGGCAATATCAGATTCCTTCTAGGCCCCAAAATGTCAGCCCATTTCATGCTCTGTGCATTTATACAGACTTTTTTGTTGTTCTGTTTTCTATTTGGTCAAAATCTTTAAATTCCACCTCAAGTTTTCCTCTTTTCTCTCTCTGTCTCTCTGTCTCTGTAATTACTTCCTTCTCTGCTTTGTTTTTGTGCCTTACCCATATTCCTATGTTTTCCTCTATCATCATGTTTTATGTGTCTGCCTGCCTCCTGGACCAGGAGACCCTTGATGGAAGGTGCAATCTATTTTTCATCTCTGTATTCCTAGAACTTTTAACTTATTTCTCTTATCCCCATATCTTTCCTTTTTTAAACTGGAAAGGCAAAAAATAGAGAAGAGATTACCCAATGTCCCTTTCCTCTATTTTAAGAAAGGTTGGCATCCAACCCCTCCAACTAAGATGCTGACTAAACTTACTTTCCTCTTCCTCCCTTGTCAATATGCACTTAGCATTGAATCACCTATTTGCTAACATCTTCAATCTTTCAATTTTAGGCCAATATTTTCTTCTTATAGGGTCCAAAGTAGTTTATGTTCAGACATTTCAATGCATTAAAAATACCACAGTAGAATTTAATCAGGTTGCATAATGTTTTCCTCATAGCATTTATTTATAAACTTATGCACTATTTAAGTAGAAGGGAAGATAAAATTTTATGACCAATTCAACTACATTTTAAAACCTTCATATTTGGGCAAAATATTCTAAGTAGGTAATTCAAAAAAAAATCTCTGTTTTTTTTCTCATAGTTTGTCTCATCTAGGAACTTAAACTTTACAACAACCAACCTCGATATGAATTACACAGGACAAGATGCTGTTTAAAAGAAGCAGCTAAAGGGCTGTAAAAACCATAAGGGAGGCTGGGCACGGTGGCTTATGCCTGTAATCTCAGCACTTTGGGAGGCTGAGGCAGGCGGATGACCTGAGGTCAGGAGTTTGAGACCAGCCTCAACATGGAGAAACCCTGTCTCTACTAAAAATACAAAATTAGCCAGGCGTGGTGGTGCATGCCTGTAATCCCAGCTACTTGGGAGGCTGAGGCAGGAGAATTGCTTGAACCTGGGAGGTGGAGGTTGCGGTGAGCCAAGATCATGCCATTGCACTCCAGCCTGGGCAACAAGAGCGAAACTCTGTCAAAACAAACAAACAAACAAACAAACAAACAAACCCATAAGGGAGTGAGGAAACCTGGGTTTGGATACCAGCTCCACAGTTAGACTTCAAGCGGAACATTGATCAGTTTAAGTCTCATCAGTAAAACAGTGATAATAATATCTGACTCTCTAGATCCTTGTGAGGATTAAATCATATAATGTGTGGGAAAATGCCTCGCACAGTGCCAGGAACATAAGGGATACTCACTAAATTTTAAGTTAACTTGCATGCTAGGAAATCACAAATATGCCTACTTTGCAGATGATAAATTCAAATTTACAAGATTATTACTGAGGCATTCAATGTCAGCTTAATTAAAGAAAATCCCATTTTCCCTGAAGCTCTGCTGGCTTTCTGAACTTTTTGTCCTGGAACAATACTCTGTGCTAACCCATTTTATTTTCATTGGTTTAGTCAAAGGACAATGAGTCAGACACTGCAGTTTGGGAGTCTTGAGTTCCATTTTGAGCATGCATAGTCCAGTGACCTTGGACAATCAATGGGACATTTTTTTGTGAACCCTTTTTGCATTTCCCCAAAGGCAAAGCCTTAGTCCTATTCCTCCTTTCTGTCTGCTCAGCACAAACTTGGCAACATTCGTTACCAAAAATCAGGGCATCGATATTTTAATTCACAAGAAAAATCCAATTCATGTAATATCTTTATCCCTCTATGAACTGCGGGGAAAAACGGAAGTAAGCAAGCCCAAATGTTCAGCCTAAAGCATTTGCCGATATTCCTTTAAAGTAATAATCTCCCTGCAAGGCCAGCAGCTCTTTAACGGACACTTCACTTTGCTGTTGGAAAGAAAACCTTTTCTGTGTTCTCTGCCTCCACCTGAACTACTCAGTAACTGAAAGTCATTTTGTTTCTCCTATCACCCTTGGCAGCTATGTACACATTACCCATCCATTTCACTATCTAAATCAGGAGTTGAGGAAAAGTCCCTGTGGGAAGCCTGAATAGCCAGCAGCTGCGTTTGGCCTGGCCAGCTGAACTTCAGCCTGCATCTTGGCCCAACCCCAGGACTGATAACGCCTTTGCTAAGCTTTAGATTTCCCCAGCATTTGCGTGCAAAATGGAAAGGCTGGTTTCCTCTGTCCTGATGGCTTCTCTCAATGCTCTTCGGGCTTGTTAACTTGTTTTAGGCAAGAAGAGAGTGGGGGTGGGGGTTCCTGGGCCCAATCCGGGGTCTGCATGCTTCCAGCCTGCCCCAAGTTGTACAGCAAATGCTGACCTATATTCCAGTGACACACACCAGATATGAGTAGGACATAACTGCCCAGGGCGCTGCCCACTCCCTCCTCCTCCTTGTTCCTCAGCCAGGAGGGCAGCCAGATCCGTACACCATGTTCTGTCTTGTCAGCCGATGGTGTGACAGGCACCGGGGGGCTTATTAGGAGGCAACGCCCCCCCATAATATGAACCTCTGGGCCACACCACACTGTATTCTCTCCAGGAAGAGTAGCAGTAACCGAAAGGGTGCAGACAAGTTGATCTCTTGAGTTAGATCACAATGATTTCCTTCCAGCCATTGTTTTTGGACTGCTTTGCTGTGTTTCTTTAGAGTGGGCAGATGGCAGGATCCTGGAGGTGTAAAACAGCTACAAAAAACAAGATGATTCAAACAGAAGGAATATGTATAAACCCTGCTGTATCATCTCGATATTAATCAAGAGACTTGGCTTTTCCTTCCCCCTTTGCAGGATGTTTAAGGTTTTCATGCTTTTTTTTTTTTCTTTCTTTCTTTTTAAAAGAAGGACACACTGTGTAAATGGGCCACTTTTGGGGTTTTGGCTGAAAAGTTGGTGTCATTTTTGCATTCAGTTTATTTTGAGGACAAGCCCAACTGAGAGACTTTACAGCAAGACCACTTACTTTGAGTAAATGGAAGAAAGTAAAAATGGAACCTCCATAGAAAAAAAGCTAATGCTGGGTAGCAAGGATGGTGCCATCCAAAGTACAGGAACCGAGCCTAAAAGAGACAATTTCAAGTTGAGTTGTGGTTTGCCACAGTGTCCTCGTGATCAGTTGAGTGGTCAGATGTCAGGGGTGACTGAAAATAAGTTCATTTTCCCACAGGGTAAAGGGAGAGAAGAAAAAAAGGGGAAAAAAAGGAAAAGCTTTGCCCATATGAAACAAATACTTTAAAATTTCAGAGTTTATCTGGCATCAGCTCGAAGATTTACCATCATCCATGTGACTTTTGTGAAGAGCACTGAAGAAGAAATAACAGTTGTTGCTTTTGATTAGCATAACATTTTACCCCCCTCCCTTTTCTCCCTAATGATCACAAATAGTCCTTTATGGTGTGATTGCCCAGCACCATTGTTCGTTCAAAAGATCTGAGAGCAAGGGTCTTGGGCTTACGTTATTAAGGCGCTGGCAGGGAGAGGAGAGCTAGGCAGAATGATCTCAGGCAAAGAGCTGCAGTCTCAGAATCAGAACACTAACAGAACCCCGGACCTTCCTAATTCAACCTGAGGTACAGCTTGGCTTTATGATGGCAGCCGCAGAAACGTCTTTTCATGCTGCATGTGTGCAGGAGGACTCTGAGATTCAAAGAGTTAAAGTATCATCTGCAATGGGAAAAAAATGGCTTAACCACAAATTCACCCTGTGCTGGGCTAGTTGTGTGTTATTGCATATATGTGATTTTCTTTTCTTTTTCTTTTCATTTTTTTTTCTTTTCAAATACTATTCTATTTCATGATCTCATATCCTAAAATGTCTCCTTTCTAATTTAGTGAGAGGGACTTCTGGTTCACCACCTGGAACAGGGTGCTTTCTTCTATCATATATGCCAGAAAAGCATTAAAATCTCAAAGGTGAAAACCCAGAGCATCAAATCACCCATTGCAAAACCGAAGGCTTGATTCCTGATTTGGAAATCACGTAACAGGCAACCTCGAATCCCACCATCCTGATGCTTTTTCTTTCTGTTTATCTTTTTGTTCATGCATCCCAACCTAATTTCCTGATTTCACTGAGCCTGTAGCACCTTGAGCAATTCAGTGGCTATAAAATCTCCTGCCGACTTTGTTTTGGCTAGAATTGCAACCCACATGTGGGAGAATTAAGCTAAAACATCACAGAGCTAATAGCGTGCCTCTGTGCAGTGGCAGGCAGATCAGTAGAAAAAGGTGACATCATGGATATTCCGGGACTTCAGGTCTGCAGTGCAAAGCGGCTTCCTCACTACACATCAGAGTCAGAACCTGGATTTGAGACAAAAACAACTCTCCCTTCTCATAAATATCTGCTCTGGGGCTCAAAAATATTCTAAGTGCAACAGCTCAGAACTAGTCCCTTTCCCTTGGAGACTCATCTGACTTTCCAAATCCAATCACAAACTTTTTAATGGCATGTCATGAACCTCTCAGCTCATTATTTCTCTTCAAAGCCCTCCAGTTTGCCAGCTTAGAGCCTGTGAAGTGTTGTTTGATGATGTGCTGCACCATAAATAAGCACATAGGACATGCTAAAATCCATCCTTCACTACTTCTGGCTTTCCCACCAGGAATACTGCCATATAATCAGGGATGTGTGATTTGCAGCAGTTGTTCTGAACTGAGAGTTTTGTTGTTTTTTTTTTAATGCGTCCAGTGTGTAATGTAGGTAATATAACAGATTTATCATGTTTATATAAATCCCGCTTTTTTTTCCTTCCCGTTCCTTTCCCTTTCCTCCCACTCTCTCTCACGGCTAGAATTTTGGAAGCAAAGAAAGTAGGTGTAGAGACAGACCTTCTAAAATAGCCATCACAGCTTTAACCATTCCTTACTGCAAGAAATCAACGCATTGGATAATTTCCCAAGTCTCTTAACACCCAGCGTTCCCTCTGATGTCTAAGTTGTGAGCAGACAACCATTTTACATGTGTAACCAGCCATGAAGGTTAGCATACAGAATGGAGGTTACTGTTGTAATCAAATAAAGCTCACACAGGCTAATCTGACATGTGTTTTGACTATTTTTTCTAGCCGTATGGTAATTAGGCCAAAATGGAAAGCAGTTGACCCAAATAGCTGTCACTTGTATTGTTTTGTTATGAATCACGGTGAGATTAAGGAAGGATGTGTGCAAAGATCCTGAGGTGGGAAAAAATCTTGGTGACTTCAACAAGCTGAAAGAAGGTGAGAATGGCCAGAGTCGGGGAGAAAGTGGAGGAGAGATGAAGCTGGAGGAGGGCAGAGCCTGGCTTGGAGGGCCCTGATAAAGACAGGGCATTTTATTCTGAGAAAGGGCAGAAATGCACACAAATGATCAAACAAAATCACAATACATGCAACAGAGGGGGCTGGCCTCATTTGTAGAATCAGAGAGGACCCCAAGGAAGTGACATATACTTAGGAGTTTGCCAGATAAGAAGAAGGCAGTCAGATGAAGAAGGGGGAAGTGAGGGTTGAGCAGAGGGAACAACATATATAAAGGCCTTAAGGTCAGAAAAAATAGAATGAGTTCGGAGAATTGACTAGCAGAGCTGGACAGGCCTGGCATTGAGTGCCCAGTCTGCCATTTACTGTGTGACCTTGGGCCAGCTATTCTCTCTGAGTCTCAGTCGCCTCGTCTGTAAAACAGGAACAATAACAATGCCTACCTCAAGGGGTTGTGGTAAGGATTAAGTGAAGTACATTAAAAAGTGGCAAATAATAAGTGCTTGTGGTAGATAGACTAATAGCCTCCCAAAGATTCCTATATCCTAATCCCTGGAACCTGAGAGCCTGTTATGCTACCTGGCAAGCAGGTTGCATGTGGAATTAAGTTTGCAGATCTGCTGACTTTAAGATTAACCTGATCACCTGGGTAGGCCCAATATAATCACAAGGATCCTTTAAATGTTGAAGAGAGAGGCAGAAGAGTCAGTTTCAGAGTGATGAGATATGAGAAAGACTTAACCTGCCATTGCTAGCTTTGGACATGAAAAGGGGGCACTAGGCAAAGAATGCAGGCAGCCTCTAGTTGCTGGAAAAGGCAAGACAATGGATTCTCACCTAGAGCCTCCAGAAAGAAACACAGCCCTACTGACACCTTGATGTGAGCTCAGAGATGTTGTGGATTTCTGACCTCTGCAACTGTAAGATGATACGTACATGTTGACTTAAGCCACCAAGTTTTTAATAATTTTTTACAGCAGCTGTAGGAAACTATTACAGTACTTAATAAAATGTTAGCTGGTAATTTAAATTTTTCCCTTATTAAGTGATGTCCCTTTTGTGATGAGCAAGTTCAGAAAGATCTATATCACACTTACGTATCTAGAGTCTTCGTCTGGATTCATTTTCACTTTACCATCTACCTACTGTTCTCAAAATAAATGTTATACATAGTGGCAAAGAGCACAAATTCTTACTTATTGTAGTACTGACTGACTGCAAACAACAGAAATGGACTCTAACTTAATCAGGAAAGGCATTTGTTGTCAAAGTATTAGATAGTTCACAGAATTAACTGGAAGCCTGGAGGATCAGATTCAGAAAATTAGCAAGAGTCCAGAAAGATCACACAGCAGGTAAGAGGGCCAAGATCAAGACAAGGAGGGTTCAGAGGCTGCCCCTGGACACTCATTTCCAGTGGTGCTGGACTCCCAATGCCATCACTGATGCTATGGATAATTTTTCAACGCTCAATCTTTGTATTATTCAATATTCCAAGTTCTGGGCAAAAATGTCCAATTGGGATCATTTAGCTCTGACAGAGGTGGGGTCAGCCCCTTTGGTTTCCATATTGATTGATAGTACCCTCCCTCCCACCAAGATGTTTACAGCAGATGATTTCCCCAAGCATGAAGCTATTGTGGCCCAGGTAACTCCCAACATGACAAATGACCACCACAATTAACCTCTTGCAACTGCAGTTTTCTTGTCCGTACAGTGGGGATAAGAATCTCTACTACATTCCAATTGTGGAGAGTTAATTGAAGTTTCCTGAACATGCTGTCCATGTGCCTTCTGCTGTTCCTTCTGTCTGGAATGATATCTCTCCTTATCTGTCTAGTGACCCTCTACTCATTCTTCAAGACTAGTGTGCCAATCCTGGGCCTGGTCCCCTCTGATCCATTTCCTGCCTTCCCTTCGTCTGCTCTGTATTGCAAGCAAATGACCCTTGGAGGCTGTGTTTTGTAGGCTTCTGGATGGGTTATGCCAATGGAAGGCAATAGCAGAAGATATTAGGGCTGAAAGAGAAAGAAACAATTATTTCTCTTTTCCTTGGATGGTATCTTAAGCCCCAGCTGTTTCTCCCATTTTTAACTCTTTTGGAAAAGCCATGTTCTAACTTCTGCCAGGTAACCCTAAACCCTGAGCCTCATCAATACCAAATCCTCTGTTTCTCTGGCCTAGGGGTGGTAGAACTGCATTACCTGCCGTTGCTAATCTATGGGATGCCTAATCTATGGAATGTCTTGTTTGGTTTCTTAGCAATTCCATAACCTGTAATTCTGATTACTATTGCTGTGTAACAAATTACCCCAAAACTCAGTGGCTTAAAACAACCACTCCATGGGTCATGAATCTAGACAGGGTATAGCCAAGATGGTTTATCTCTTGGCCTCAATATCTGGGACCTCAGGTGTGAAGACTCAAAGACTCAGATGACTCCACACCTGGGGGCTGGAATCATCTGAATTTTATTTGCTCACATGTCTGGTGCCTGGGCTGGGATGACTCAAAGACTAAGACTGCTGGCTAGAGCATCCACACACAGCTTGACACGTGGCTTGATTCCTTACAGTGTGACAGCCTCAGAGTGGTCAGTCTGCTTTCATGGTGGTTCAGGGCCCCAAATGTGTGTGTGCCATTCAGCAAACAAGCTGAAGCTCTCTTTTATGTACTAGCTTCTGAAGTCATTCAGCATCACTTCCCACTATTCTGTAAGTTGCGATAGTCCCAAGTCCACTCAGATTCAAATGGGTGGTGGAAACACAAATCATGCCTGTGAATGGAAGGAGTGTCAAAATTTCTGGGGTCATGTTTTAAAACCATCATCCCTGGGTTACCAATCCATGGCATGAAACTGCCCATTTTACTAACTTGGAGTGTTTTCTGTTTTTCCAGTTGAACCCTAAACATTCAGTTCAGCTGTTGTTTGCGCTATTAAAGTTCCTTAAATTCCCCAATTAGAGCTGGTCTTTGTTGTCCCCACCTTTGTGCTACCGTGACTCATCATAGCATTTGGATAAACTGTGTTCTAATCACTTTGTTTCTCTCCCTCAATAGACTATAGGCTTCTGTAGGGACTGAGCCTTATTTATCTCAGTTTCCTCCATTATTAGCACATGTCTAGAACACAGCAGACAATAATATACATTGAGCAAATGAATGCATATTTCACTCTAATCCTATTGATCATCAAGAATCATTTTGCACTTAACACCCTGAGAAAATTCTTTGGAAGTCTCCATGTGGCTTTATAAAGATTTTGACCCCTGATATGAAGCAAAGGCTATGAACTCAAATGCCAACAGGGCCTGGCAGGTAAATGAATGAAATGAATGAAGCAGACAGGTATAGAGAAGAGGGTGTGAGGTGGACTGTGGGGAGCATTTACCATGTCTACCAAGGCCACCCTGTGCACAGCCCTCAACAATTCAGACCATCAGTGAGTGAGAATGTGGCTCAGTATTCCAAGAACTTCTGATATTTTTTAGAAGTCAGAGTCTCTATTTTTATTTCCTGATTTTTAAGTGTTGCAAATTAACTAAAAAATTTTAAAAACTTTGTGTGGACCAACACTCTGCAAGCCAAACCAAATATAACCAAAGGCCGGATTCCGCCCTCATTCATGTCCTCTGATTTAGAATTGCCTGGCAAGGATCCACAGATAACTTCATTAACTCAAACTTCAATAGCTTGAGATGTCATCCTAGAAATATAATTCGTGAAAGAGGCATGTAAATTTGTTAACTGGCTAGACTCTTTAACATTGTGTATTTAACATAACAAAATACACAATAATCGAATGAAATAATATGGCAAACTGCACTTGAAACTGTTAAATGTGTTTCATGCTACCCACCTTGATTGTTTTAAAAGCTACAAACCTAAAATTCATAATAATTTTATCTTTTGGGATCAAAATATTTTCTCCACATTTTGCCACTGAATAAAATGCTTGCATATTCAGAGGGAATACAGAGATAATGATGAAGAAATGAGATCACTCCTCCATGACTGCTCAGCCCCTAATAAAGATGACGGGCAGAATGATGCCTCTAACTTAAAAAATCTTAAATGTAAATTCCAGCATATAAAAGAAGAGCACTGCACTAGAAGTCCAGATAACTGCCTTCTAGTACTTGGGTTTGCCAGCATCCTGCACACAATGCCTGGCACCAGGAAGGTGCTCAGTAAGATGTGCATGAATGTGTACATAAAATTTATATGTGAGAGAATGAGCAGCATGTGACTTTGAACAATTTACCTAAATGACTTATTTCTTTATCTGTAAAATGAGGAATTTGAAAGAGCTCTTTTATCATTGATTAATGCACCCAGCACATGCTAAGCATACTAATAAACAGGTTCTCATTTAATCTCTATGGCCCCACAGCTCTAAATTTCTATAAAAACGGGCTTCCAAAGAGCATGGAATGGATTGGGTAGCTGTTATAAGGAGTTTGTTGGCATCTCTTCTCTTTAGTTTTGCACCAGGTAAAAATGGACAAAAGTCTGCAATTCACCAAAAGTCACACATGGCCAACACTACCACGTGCATACACACACGTATCTGTGGAAACACACAAAGCTGGAATGACACATTTTAGTATTTAATACCTTCTTGTGACTTAACTATGTGCATTAGAGAAGATGTTCATGGAACTGAAACCTCTGAGACCCCTTTGAAGATTCCTTTGCCCCACATTTCACCTATGCTTTGTTGAATCTGAGGCCCAGGTCCAGGAGACATCTAAATGGGTCAGCTAAGCTTTTCCCTGGCCTACAAAGCCTCTTCCAATGGTGCACCACACCACAGTGTATTTATCCCACATTTGGAGCATGTCAGAGACAACAGACCAGAAAGCCTTATGATGCTCTGCTGATATTTCTTCTCGTTCCAAGTAGCCATTCCTACTTGGTCTGGGAAGAGATAAAGTTGCTGGTCCACAGATAAAAATCAGCAGGTACACTAGCAAACTGCTGGTGGGTCACCTAACCTGCTCTGGACCTTTTTCCTTCCTTCTTTACTCCACCCCAGGACGCTTTTCCATCTCTCTTGTCTCTTCTCCCTCTATCTCGTCATATCCAATTTATGTGCCATCCCCCACAACCCGGTGCACAGTAGGTACTGTATGCATTTGATAAACTATTTAGATTGACCTCACTTGTTCTGACAAAAAACGCTGGTGGTTCTCTAAGCCGTCAATCAGAAAGTCAGATTTTATAACAAGTTGTGGAAGAGGGAAAGCCTTTATTTTCATTTTTAGGTGTCCAATCCCTTACCCCCATACAACTCCCACACAGACAAGTACACTGTGCAGTTTTCATGAACTCAGATCATGGCCAGACCTCACGAGGTGGGTGGGCAGAGGCTGTGGCCAGAGGGGCTAGGGGCTTCGATTTTCTTCCTCATCTTTACCTGCCCAAGTCTATAACTTTCTTTAGGACTCTGCAGTACTATCCTCTGCTGCAGAAAACATTCTCTGTGTGACTCCTGGAGATCCGGTTAAGTTTCTCTCATGGGTGCTAATCACCCTGTCCTTGGTCCTGTGAACATCAATCAGCCAGCACTGTCATTTCCCTTACTGGACTGGAGGTACCTTGAGCAGGGCTGAAGCTTATTCACATTCTATACACAGCTCCTATCACACTACCGGGCACATAGTAGGTGCCCAATTAATTGACTACCTTAGTGAATGTATGGCTATTTAATACATGTATTGTAGAGATAACTTTCTAAGTCTGTACTCTATAGGACATAGAGGCCTGGGCTCTGGATAAACACTGCTGAGTTGCACAAGTTGGTGATATTAAGGTTTTCAATTAAGGCAATAGTCATGGGAGCAGAAGGGAATGGGCTCTGACACCAGAACTCAGGCTTTTGGGCCTTGAACACTCACTCAAAGCCCTTAGGCTGAAGTGAATTTTTCTGGAGCTTGCTAAGATAAAAGCAGTGTTTAAGGGAACATTTGGGCATGTCTCAGGGCAGTGAACTTGAGCAATTTCAAAAACACTGGGTCTACTTTGTAGAGCGGGTTGTGGATGTGATTTACCCACTGTATTTCAGAGCCTCGGTCACTGTCCAGGCAAGAGTCTCAGGGGTCTGTCTCTGGGGTAGGAGTTAAGCTCTCACAATGCTCACAAAGTTGCTTCATAAGTCTTTGGTTTTAACATGACAGTGACCACCTGTCCTACCCAATCCCTGAGGGAAACATTAGAAGCAGCAGCACATTGACATTCAGGCTGGAAGATGCAGTGTGCCAAAGATTAAATGGAAAGACTTTTCCTGGGTTATTCTTATTGCATCCAGGGGTGGCAACTGGGGACAGGGGTGCCAGATGGACACAGAGGCTGCTGGGGTGGGTGTGGGATTATTTGTTTCTATAGAAACATTTCTATAGGACGTCTGTAGGGCCTTTGGAAGGTGGCACTGGTCTTGCCCTGAGAACCATGTGGTGCCCTTTCACAATGTTCCCAATGCCTTTTTATTACCAAAGGAGTTTTCTAGTAGCTGCCCTGTCTCTGGCCTGGAATTTACTGAGATTCTGTGAAAATGGAGTCTTCTGAATTCCAAGCCAGGTTTCTGCCTTTCCAGGAAGACAGGGTCTTAGTATCCACACACTGTGAAGAACGAGAAGCTTGGCCCCAGAGCCCTTGGCATTTTCCTGCCCCCCTCCCTCCCCTCCTCCTGGCCTGGGTTTGTCCCCCTGGGGCGTGGACCTCAGCCAGTTGTCAACTAATCCTTGCTAAGGTGTTAGGTGGCAAAGGCTCAAGGGTTATTAATCTTTGTAGGAGCTTTCCACATTAAACAAAGTTTTGTTATTAAATCAAAGGGCATTAAAAATTCACCACCATAGCATAAAAACAATTTCTTTGTGTCCTCTATAAATCCTTACCTTTAAAAGTGAGTTTAGTTATGATCATAATATATATGCAATATGTGGGACTTTTTCATAAAGAAGAACATTTTGCACATCTTCACATTTTTTAATGTCCCATTCTCACTCTCATAGTAGTTTGAAGGCAGCTTTTGCAGCATCTGTCCATTTCTTGATTTCTCCCCAGCATATCCAGCTGCCCTCCCTCTCTTCCTGCCTCCTGGCAATGAAGCGAGCCCCCAGGGCCATGGTGTAACTGTGACCCTGCCTCTACCTATGACTAACTCCTGCCACACTGAATAAACAGGAGTAGCACTAGATGCAAGATGAGTCAGAGTCTTTCTCCCCAAACTATGAAATTAAGGCCAGGAAAAGGACTTGTGTTGGTTTCTTTTTGGGTAGCTGAACCTGCAACATGTCAGCTTAGGAGTGGAGAAGTGGGTTTTCTCCAACAATGCTGTGGACCTAACAAGAGAAGAAGCTGAGAGAGGAGAATGAAGCAGATGTGCAGAGAAGGGCAGAGGTGACAGAACTTCCCTGAGGCCCAGGTATATTCCTGCTCTTGATTTCTGTGAGACACACCTGTATTTTTTGCTTAAGCCAGCTTTGTTTCATTTTTGTCACTTGCAAGCAAGAGTCCAAACTAATTATAAGAATAATAATATTAATGACATGGAACATTTGTGATGTATCAGATATTTACACACCGGGTATTTAATACCTTCAATCACCTAACGAGCTAACATAGAGATCCAGTAACCTTCTCAAGATAGTACCTCTTAATGAATTGTGGACTGGGATTTGAACCCTGATCTTGTCTGATTTTACAGTCTATGGTCTTAACTATTCCCTATGTGGACTCTCAAGGTAAGTGTGTCATCACAGAAGTGGGATGAATAGAGGGAAGAAACATCATGCCTTCCGAGAATAAATATAAAACACTCTCATTTCAGATGCCAGAAATAAGACATTTTGAGGCACAAGCCTCTTCCTGCTTAACCCCCGTCAAGTGACCCCATATAGACAGTACTGTTTTCCTTGTGTCTTGGCTTATGGATGTCCTTGCCTGGTGTTTGGTACCTCGGATGGGCCTACCCTTTCTCCAACAGCAAGGAAGACCTGTGTTGAGTCAGTTCTCTGCATACAAACATGTCTGCATGATCCAGCCGTGGTTTATTCATGATACATTTGTAAGAATTCTCCTCTTGCCATCAACTGTGCTCCTGGAACCACCTTTCATTGCTTCTAGTTGGTATATTCTTAAACATTTCAAACTAGTGGCAGTCACTCATGCATTTATTCACTATCTTTAACATGTTAGTTGACCACAGTCTATGGGCCTGTCTTAATCCCGGGAATACAGGACAAATCAAACAGCATGTCTGCCTCCTTAGAGATCACAGAGGCATTTGAAGACATTCCCTAATAACACCACACATTAACATCAGAGTAGAGGCACACACAGGCTGCCTTGGGAGCAAGGGAGGAGGAGTAGGGGTAGAGGGGTGATATGGGGTGTGTAAACTAACTCTATCTGTGGAAAAGGCTTAATGAACAACTAGACGTTGGAGGCTGTGAGCATTTGTACTAACCCAATCAACCTAAGTAAAGCAAATGCACAAGTTTTCGTCTGCTGTGATATTACGATAAATCATTTATCAGGAACAAAGGCTGAATTGCAGGGCTATGTCTCTCCATGTCTGTCTTCAAGGGCACCATGATTTTGGGAATTGATAGAATTGGTTACAAACCTTCATGTGTACTAAGAATTCCTAGCCAATCATCCAGGGATTTGCTTCAGCAGAGAGTTTTTGCGTGGAAGGACTGGTCTCACAGTTTCCCCCTAGGGCAGCACATCTCTTCAGAAATGCCAACCCAGTGGAGGGAAAGCAGCCCTGTGAGGATTCTCACATGCCCCTGGACATCTTCAAAGGTGGCAAACAGGAATCAAGAATTACGCAGAACTCATCTTCCTCTAGGATGGGTACACTGGAGCACAGTTGTAGCTGGAGTAGAAAGGCAGCTCAGGGAGGAGAATAAGTTTCAGGGAATTCAGACAAAACCAGCCCGTGGGGAATATTTTTAAATTCCAGGCAAATGATTGGATAGGAATACAATAAGCGTTCCTAGTGTAAAGGCTTTCCCTTCTCGATATTGATCTTGTGGCAACTCAGAAAGCTATTTGCAAGGAAATGGTCACTCTTTCCCTTTACATAACATTCATAAATGTGCAGCCAAATTCAATGTGTCATAGATGAAATTACCAACCCGCGTACCACCCGCCTGTCTCATGTGAGCTCGGTTTACGGTTCCAGTGTTCTCCAGCGAGCATCACAAATCCACATAATGTTCCGAGTGCTAAATTTGGAGCTCTGATGTAGCTGACAGATGTTTAAAATCACATTTAGTCGGACAACTCCCTGAGGAGGACACAGCTGCAGATGTGAAAGAGAGCAAGTTATTCCAGTTAAGGTCGGCGGGAACTCGGCCTGAAAACCTTCCGTCTCCATCCGCCTTCTTCAGACAGGAGGATATGGGCGAAGGAACTTTTTCATGCGGGGTCCGCCCACCTTCGGCCAAACCCTCCCTCACAAACCTCCATTTGAATTGTTGCCAAGATAAACATGGAGGCTGTATCTTGGGCAGAGTGTAGGGTGCTACACTTAGCCTTAATTGAGTACGAAAGAGGCTGCTTGCTTTTTAAAAACAGGCACAAAGCCACATTTTGGAGCCTGCTTTGCCCCTCTGGTGGCATCTTAGTCCCGAAAATGAATATGATTCTGGAATTTTGCTCTTCATGATCAGTTATTCAAACGTCAACCATTCTGGATGGGTTGAAGGGCCATTCACCCTCCCTCACTCCTCTGACATCTCGAATAGTTCCTCCTTCGTTTTTTAAAAACAACAAAATTAAAATTATCCTAAAATCTTTGCAAGATCACATATTTTAGGCTTGTTTCAAGACTCAGACTAAAATGGATTTGTTTAAAAAAATGGTCTGTGTATTTGATGTGGGAGACTAGTGACCTTTGGTGTGTTGTGCCAAAAAAAAAAAAATGTTTGATGTCTAAAATTTCCCTACTGAGCTTGTATTGTTTCTGGTCTCTTTCTGTGATTTTTCCATCCTCCATCATTCCCCACGTTCAAAATCAGTTCTTTATTTACTCAACGGAGGTTTTGACATAGTTATGAGCTCATCCTGATGGCAGCCTCAAATCAATGCAAATCACATTACGATGTCAAAATTGATGTGATGTGAGTGTAAGTTAAATGATTGTAAAACAATTTTAGGACAGAGACCAAGAGAGACTCTTACCATGTCAGGAGAATGGTAGGAAGGGATTAATGGGAGAACTCTGCCAGATTCATATCAGGACAATATAGCGTGCACACTATATTGGCTTTACTCCCAATTTAAAGTTCTTATAAAGGCATCCTTAGAGACCACAAAATACCCTCAGAGGAGGTTGATGGGCAGCTGGCTAGGGTGATAGAGTGGGTTTGGCTCACAATGTTTTAGGCACTGAGATGAGCAGATAGTATGTTAAGTGAATGACAACTGGGAACAAACCAAACTCAGTCAGTGCCGATGAATCCCTAGAGCCTAGTTTCTAAATGGTCAGGCTGGGAGACCTATAGCTAGGAAAGGAGATTCAGTAATGGGGTAAACAGGGGAAGAGAAATAGACTCTAGGGCCAGTGAGAAAATCTCAGGTGGATTCCTGTGCTAAAAGTAAAAAATCACACTTCCTAACTCCTTGGACTTCAGGACTCAGTCTACGATATTATCTTCAATTCATGGACTTTCACAGTCTGGAGTGGAACATTATACACCAATCCATGACTATAAATGACTTTGGGAGGGTGGAATTGGAAGAAGAAAGGGGAAGCGCATTAACATTAGAAGCAAATCTGTACTGTGTGGTTTGTTGTAATGCTTTTTCCTTTACTTAAAAAAAAATCCATTGAAATTAATTGAATGACATGTGCATAAACACACACCCTTTCCCCCACAAGAAATTTTACTGGATAAAGTTCAGGAAACTCTATAATTGACTAGCAAGTCCTTTGACCTCTGTGGGTGCCAGTTTCCTCGTCTCTGAGAAATCACAGTATTTCTGGGAGAATAAAATGCAATAGATAAGGATAGAGTTTTGAGAAGCTGAAAGGGGGGTTAGAGGGCAAAATGTTACTGCAATTATACAGGGCATAAAGGGTACTTTATAAATATTGTGACTGACGGTGACATTGGTGCAAATTCCTGTAAGAGATTCTTTTAGTCATATATTTCTCAAGGACTTTGGGCACTAAAGATAAATGTTCAGAATTATGTATTCTGGATCCTATTAAATAAAATCTAATTTGACTTGTGGACAGAGAAGTCTTTGGAGTCCGTTTTGAACCCTAACTCCACAACTCACTTGCTCTGATACATGTGGGCAGATTAGTTAATTTCTCTTAGCTTTAGTTTTCCAAGACTATAAAAAGAGGATTAATATTACCTTCCCCCTAGGACTGTTGTGGGAAATATGTGAGACAATGCATATAAACTGTCTAATCATGGCTGCTCCCATCACTGGGAGATCTCCATGCAAAGTGCAATCATTATTTGATGGTAACAAACATTCCTTCTTCTCTTTTACCAACAGAGAAACTGAAATAATGAGAAAAGTAATAAGTTGCAGCCACAGGATGAGATAAGGCAGTAGTTGGGAATAAACCCCAGGCCTAAAAGCTGCCATCAGGTCATAGTAGGAACTGTTTGATTATTTTCTGCAGAGGAACTCTTACCTTAGGAGTTTTAGGAACTACATCCACTCTTCTGATGTCTGGGTATTGGAAAAGACAGGGTCATTCCTTCACCAGAGACCTAGGGTGCTCTGCTGCTGTGATTGTGAAAATGTGGGGCAACAAAGTGCAGTCTTTAATGCTCTGTTACTGGCGAGCTCAAATCCCTGAAGCTAAAGAGCATTCCGGATGCCCTGGATTTCCCTCACATTCACTTTGTGTGGAGACTTAAATCATTCTGTAATTCTAAATACTGTGGGAACAGTAGCAAATGCTATCACACACTGGTTACTTTCTACTTATCATTATTTAAATGATCACCAACAAAGACACTGGTTTAGAAAAGCACACAGGAGTTGGCTAAGACCAGTTGGTTGGGAATCATGTCTGCCGGTCTCAACTTATGTCCATTTAGCAAAGTGAAGTCTTAAAGACAAAAGAGGGAGGAGTTTCCAAAGATTCTCACTCCTATCTGAGTGAGGAATGCAATCCCAATCTCCAACTTGGCAGAAACTATCACATCAATCTCTACAGGGCATTGATTTTAATTGGAGCCAGAGACATGGGTACTTCAAACAAAAAGAAATGGGTTATCATCACCATGCCAGGTAACTTTCAGTGCTAACACACATTTTCTCAATTTAAGTGGACATTATGTGTGCTTATGGGCGCAAAGGCTATGCATGAAAGTTCTACTTGGAAACGGTTTAAATGTCTATCTCTGGGAATCAGGTGAATGAATTTTGGCCAATCTGCACACATTTTCCACACTTGTAAATTGAGTGAGGCGGATCACTGCACTCTCACGCATAGTTACCAACTGGCTGCGTTCTAAAGTGAAAAGCCAGGTACTGAGTTGTGTGTAGAACATGCAAATTTTTTCCAAGTATATGGGAGGATTCAAAATATGGGCATAAAACTTAAATAGGATTCAACAGAAATTAAAGATAGACTTTTTTTGTTGTTGTTGTTCTTTGAGACCAAGTCTCGCTCTGTCACCAGGCTGGAGTGCAGTGGCGTGATCGTGGCTCACTGCAACCTTTACCTCCCGGGTTCAAGCAACTCTCCTGCCTCAGCCTCCCAACTCTAGGACTACAGGTAAGCGCCACCACGCCCAGCTAATTTTTGCAGTTTTAGTAGAGACGGGGTTTCACCATGTTGGCCAGGATGGTCTCGATTTCTTGACCTCGTGATCCGCCCGCCTCGGCCTCCCAAAGTGCTGGGATTACAAGCATGAGCCACAGCACCCGGCCAAAGATGGACTTTTAAGGAAAAAAAGAATTTGGTTTGGGCCTAGAGAATGTGTATGAAATTCTAACAGTACCCTACTCCTGGGCTCCCAAGAGAACACAATCTCTGCCTGTGACCAATCCCCCTCATAATTTCCTGACCAAGAAATTGCCTCAAAGAACAGGAAACATGAAGATAAGCAAACTTGAGCTGGTTTCTCTGAGTCCTGCAGCCACTTCCCTGTGGCAGTATTCTGATTTTCTTTTAACCTAAGCTATGCAGATGGACAGGTGTTATTTATGGCAAACTTAATACTATTCTTCATCAAATGTTTATCAGATAGTAGACAATAGTGTCAAGGGCTTTATCTATTTGAATTAATGCAAGTATGGAATCCTTATAGCAATTGTACAAAGGTAGCTGTAATTTACCCATCTTGCAGATGATAAAACTAAGGTTCTGAGTGGCTAGCTAAATTGACCACATCAAAGAACAAATAAAGGGCAGAATTTGAATGTGAACTCATTTGACTTTGAAACCCTGCTCTTAAACACTACCTAGTACTAGTCTGACTTCACGAACAGCATCTGTATTAAGCCTTCATGGTTGGAAGGGTTCTTGGGCTGAATTAGCCAAACAATAATATTTTCTTTAGCCTTGAATTTGTATTCTCCTCATCCTCCCTAATTTCAGTGCTTTACCAACTCATTGATACCACTGGCAAAGAGAGTTGACTTTTTTTAAAATAATAATTTCTTTAAGGAAAGCAAACCACACAAACATTTGTGTTTGCTATTTAATGGAAGGTTATGTTTGCTTAGCAGAAACTAAAAAGGAACTCTTGAAATGACTTTTAAAAATCTAACTAGAAAATGAACATGTGCTGACATGTTCTTTATTGCTTTCAGCAAAAGACAAATACTATATGTGCCCAAACCTTCCAGAGTTGCTGTGAGCAAAACCCAACACACCCAAAGTAGAATTAGGGGATGGAGATATTAACAGACTTGAGAAGAAGGATGGAATTTGCTTAGATATTCTCTGAAGGAATAGCTGCTCTACCAATTTCTGATAATGGCTGGAAACAGGAAAGGAAGTAATAATTAAAATGGTCAGTATGGAAGAAGATTGGTTTCATTCCTCTTTCTGTATTCCATAGAGATCTGGAAGATAAGCTTTAATATCAAACTTTAACATCAAGCTTTAACATCTGCTGAGTTTGAATCCTCCCTCTTCCACCTACCACCTGGGTGACCTCAATTCATTTATAAAAAGAGGATAATATTAGACACCCTCTGCCCCCCACCACACTAGTCAGGAGAGGCTTAGTTATGCTGCAGTAACAAACACCAGTTATCAGTGATTTCAAACAACAAATATTTATTTTTCATCCATGCTGTGTCCAACATGGGTCAGCAGGGGGTCACTGAGCCTTCACTACCTTATAATGATGCCTGCCCAATACAAGGCTTTAGGATCCACCATTGCAAGGGGAAAGAGTACCTCTTATTAGATGATTATACATGGAAGTGACACATGTCACTTCTGCTTAAATTTCATCCATCAAAGCAAGTCATGTGGCCACCCCTAGCTTCAAGAAGAGAACCAGAAATCTTGGTAAGCACTGGTCATGTCCACTTCTACCACACCCTCCCTTTAGGATTATTGTAGAGATTAAATGTTAATTATTATTGTTATGATTTACTTCAATACCCCTAGTGCCCACATATTAGATAATTAAAAAGAATGAACAACACAGTGACCATGACTTTCAGCAGCTCAGAATTTAATGTAGGGAACAAAATCAAACCAAAAACCAAACTACAATGTGATAAGTGCCAAAAGCCCAAAGAACTGTGTGTTGAGAGAGCAGAAGAGAATCAATGTAATCTTTTAGATGGAGGAGTGGGAAATGAGGTCTTCACATGGGAAGCTTCACTGGGAAGGTGACACTTCTGAGTTTTGACAAATGAGTAGGAGTTCATAGGGTGAAGAATAAGGAGAAAGGCAAACCGGCTGGAGAAAACCTACACAGAGGCGGAGGCAGGAGAGGGTATAGTGAGTACCTTCTGGGCAGGATTCATGCTGGGGAATTGTGGGAAGTGATGGTGGCTAGGTAGGCAGAGTCTAGACTAGCAAACGCCTTGTATATCTATCTATGCCATAGACAGGAATTTTTTTTTAATGTAGGTTTACCAGTGTCGCACCTAACAGTGTGTCTTTAACAATGAGAGCAGAATGTGCAGTGGGAAGTCCTCTAAACTCACCTCATAATCTGTTCATTAATTCTGCTGAAGGAACAATGTTCATTAGCTCTGTGAACTTTGGCATCTCAAGGTCTCATGGCCTTTATTTATAAATAAAAAGGTTTAAATAAGTGAAATTTGAGGTTCTTTCACACATTCAAGTTCAAGGAACAGGACTCAGATCGGCACCCTCTGTGGTGCTTCAGCCCCAGGAAGATGGCCATGCCAGTGTGACTCATAATTTTACCCCTCACCTAGGTTCCTGAGACACTATTTCTGATTGGCTACTAGTTTTCAGGGGTAGTATATCTTTCTGGCACAGATAATTCATGATAATGACTAAAGAAGTATAATACCTATGATAAGTGTGTAAATTTAGGCACTACCAAGCTTACTCTTTGGATTTCAAAATTTGTAACCCAGAGAAAAATATACTGTACTTTACATCACAGAATCACACATTTTCAAGGTCTCCCGTGTCTCAGAATTGCTGATTTGACTGAAAACACATTTCTGTTCTTGCACTATTCAGAGGTGCCAGAAGGGGATTCTGGTCAAAGTATGTGACTCGCGGGACATCTAGCCTTGTATTTGGTACTTGATCAAGACATTATGATTGTTATACTTCATTCTCGCCTCTATGGAGTCTGCTTGTGTTAATGTCTGATTTACCCAGGCTATTTGAGGCACTATGTTGAAGTGGTTAAGAGTGTAAATTTCAGAGACAAACTATTTCCTCTCTTAGGGCCTCAGTTTTCTCATCTGAAAAATGGAAATGATACTAGGTTTCTTCATAGGTGAGAAAACAGCTTAGGGCAATATGTGGTCTAGCACACATTGTGAGTAGTAAGTGTAATAATAATAGTAATAATAATGATAATAATAAAGATGTTGAAAGAGAGGTAAACCCAATAGATATTCAAGGAAAACTGAAGAGAATTTGAGGCAAGGGGAAGTGAAATTCATGACGAGAATTTGAGCAGGTAGGATGTGATTCTGACTCAGAGAAATTATATGGTGTCTGGAAAGGGGGCATGTGGGATCTCTGAGTGTCTAGAACAATTTTGTTACCTAAAAAATATCTTAAAGTCCTAAGCCAATGAAATTTCATATATTTGGATTTGAAGAATAATTTTTATTCTTCATATTAACATTGTTGTCAATAACAGCACCATCACAATCAAAAGTAGATTTACTGTGAAGATAATGAGGCTGTAGCTTCAGCCCCTCTCATTTGCAGGGACCCCTTCTAAAACTCTGTGTTTGCTTTGTTTTCATTTTTTTTTCTTTTTCTTGAAGAGGGTTGCCACTGCTCCCAAGCCCAACCCAAAATTGTTTTACTTCAGGGTCCTCAAAATCTGAACCTGCCTTAATTGCACTGATTGGGAAATAGGGGGGTATTGTTAAGGCCACACATTCTGGAGTCAGAATGACCTGAGTTCAAGTCTCAGCTCAGCTATTTGCTAACTAGGTTACTTTAGGCAGATGATTTAAACTTTCTGAGCCTAGGCATTCTCATCTGTCCAAGGAGAATAATGGCAATGTCTTCTTCTTCTTCTTCTTCTTTTAATTTAAATAGGTTTTTGGGAAACAGGTGGTGTTTTATTATATGAATAAGCTCTATAGTGGTGATTTCTGAGATTTTGGTGCACTCATACCCAAGCAGTATACACTGTACCCAATGTGTAGCCTTTTATCCCTCACCCACCTCCCACCCTTTCTCCCAAGTCCCCAAAGTCCATTGTATCATTCTTATGACTTTGCATCCTCATAGCTTAGTTCCCACTTATGAGTGAGAACATATGACGTTTGGTTTTCCATTCCCTTAGTTACTTCACTTAGAATAATGGTCTCCAATTCCATCCAGGTTGCAGTGAATATCATTATTTCATTCCTTTTTATGGCTGAGTAGTATTCCACAGTATATATATACCACAATGTATTTTATCCACTTGTTGATTGATGGACATTTGGGCTGGTTCCATATGTTTGCAATTGTGAATTGTGCTGCTATAAACATGCATGTGGAAGTATCTTTTTCATATAATGACTTATTTTCCTCTGGGTAGATACCAGTAGTGGTATTGCTAGATCAAATGGTAGTTCTATTTTTAGTTCTTTATGGAATCTCTATACTGTTTTCATAGCGGTTGTACTAGTTTACATTTCTACCAGAGGTGTAAAAGTGTTCTCTTTTCACCACATCCCCACCAACATCTATTATTTTTTGATTTTTTGATTATGGCCATTCTTGTAGGAGTAAGGTGGTATCACATTGTGGTTTTGATGTGCATTTCCCTGATCATTAGTGATGTTGTGCATTTTTCAGTTGTGCATTTCTTCATATGTTGGTTGCCCATTTGTATATCTTCTTTCAAGAATTGTCTATTCATGTCCTTAGCCCACTTTTTGATGGGATTGTTTGTTTTATTCTTGCTAATTTGTTTGAATTCCTTGTAGATTCTGGATATTAGGCCTTGGTTGGATGTACAGATTGTGAAAATTTTCTCCCATTCTGTGGTTGTTTGTTTACTCTGCTGATTGTTTCTTTTGCTGTGCACAAACTTACCAGTTTAATTGAGTTCCATCTATTTATCTTTGTTTTTGTTGCGATTGCTTTTGCATTCTTGGTCATGAAGTCTTTGCCTAAGCCTATGTCTAGAAGGGTTTTTCCAATGTTATCTTCTAGAATTTTTATGGCTTCAGGTCTTCTGTTTAAGTCTTTGATCCTTCTTGAGTAGATTTTTGTACAAGGTGAGAGATGAGGATCCAGTTTTATTCTTCTACATGTGGCTTGCCAATTAGCCCAGCACCATTTGTTGAATAGGGTGTCCTTTCCCTACTTTGTTTTTGTTTGCTTTGTCGAAGATCAGTTGGCTGTGAGTATTTAGGTTTATTTCTGGGTTCGCTTTTCTGTTCCATTGGTCTATGTGCCAATTTTTATACCAGTATCATGATGTTTTGGTGACTATGGCCTTATAGTATAGTTTGAAGTCAGGCAATGTGATGCCTCCAGATTTGTTCTTTTGCTTAGTCTTGCTTTGGCTATGCAGGGTTTTTCTTTTTTTTTTTTTTTTTTTTTTTTGGTTCCATATGAATTTTAGGATTTTTTTCTAGTTCTGTGAAGAATGATGGTATTTTAAAGGGAATTGCATTGAAATTGTAGATTGCTTTTGGCAGTATGGTCATTTTCACAATATTAATTTTATCCATCCATGAGCATGGGATGTGTTTCCATTTGTTTGTGTTGTCTATGACTTCTTTCAGCAGTGTTTTGTAGTTTTCTTTGTAGAGGTCTTTCATGTCCTTGGTTAGGTATATTCCTAGGTATTTTATTTTATTTTGCAGCTATCGTGAAAGGGGTTGAGTGTTTTATTTGATTCGTAGCTTGGTCGCTGTTGGTGTATAGCAGAACTACTGATTTGTGTACATTAATTTTGTATCCTCTAACTTTGCTGAATGTATTTATCAGTTGTAGGAGCTTTTTGGAGAAGTCTTCTTTAGAGTGTTGTTCTAAATATAAAATGAGATCATTCAGAAGTGCACAATTAATATTGCTTGTTATAACTGATTTGTCTTTCCCTTTTGAGTAATAGGAGGGTCTGAGTTTACTCATGGGTGTCCCAAATGGCGAATTAGTCATTCATCCCTTTAGGAATAGTTCCATGCTTTACTTTTCTCCGAATTCCTTTCCTTCATCTCCCCAGCAGCCAGCATGAGGCAGCTCACATTAGAGAAATTCACCTAGAAAATGTCATAAGGATTGTAGAAGTGACTGTAATTTCCTGGGCTTTTTTATCTAGGGCACTTTATTGGCAGAAGATGGGCTGGTAAAATTTGATGCATATGGGTAAATTCTGAGTGCTTTTTTACCAGGCTGGCTAGTCACGTGATGCTAAGCCAGGAGGTCCTTAGGATGGGCAGGCCAGTCACTTCTAGGCAGGCTCACCCACTCTAATAACAATGATTCACTTCTCCACAGGCTCCCCTGAGAAGATGAATGCTGGATTTACAGCAGATTTGTGCAAAAAGCCCTATGGAGAAAGAAACATAGGGCAGTGGAAAAATGCTCTCAAGGCTTACGTTCTTTAGAGCTTTGGAAATCAAATGGTAATGTCTGGGTCACTGGGGAGGCTGCTCCTAAAATAACTCCCCTGATTCCTGGCCAAAACAGAGGGCTTTTCCCCCTTTACAACTAACACAGGATGTTGGATGCCCAGCAGTCTCAGTATACTTTGCCTTGGCTGATTTTCATTTCTAATCCCATTGCTTTGTAAAGTGTAGAATTATTCTCTTTTGACCAAGCCAACAGTCTAGAAGTTGTGGGTGGGACTTGGTCTTGCAAACAGAAATATTCTATTGTGGTTTGCATTGTTTTTATCATGTCACAGTTCAGACTCCTACTTCCAAGGCAATCTCTTTTCTTTTAAATACACACACACACACACACACACACACACACACACACACACACCCCACACACACCACAAATGCCAAACAACTTCTACTTAAAAAAAAAAGTCATCATGCATGGCTGCCAGCATGTACATCACTCAGATTCTCCCTTTAAGAGAACCTGCTGTGAGAAAGGTAGCTGGCTGCTGGTGTCAGCTGCTATCAGAGCACAAAAGCTGGGCCATTTTCTTCCTCTAACAGTCAATCTTTGCTCTGGGGATCTGCAGTGGCCAGGCTGAGGTCATCTCAAATTTGAATCGTTGTCTTTGGTCTTCATAGCCAGTCCTCCTTCCCTCCTTCTTTGTCTCCCAGTGCAGGTGTCAGACCTGTGTCACTGTCTGAAAGCTGTCCCTGCCTACTCCTGTTCCCTGTACCCTTTATCTTTCATAGGCATTTTCCTTCTAATTTGGTCTTTGTGTCTGTTTTGCAGAGGACCCAAATTAATACACCATAAATTCTAGTTTTAGTGAATTACAAATCTCCCAGGGTGAAGACTCTAGCATCTTGTCAGATGTTTGAGCTCACATTGCTGCAAACCCAGGAAGCAATATATAAGAGATGCTATAAAGCAAAAGGAGGCTGGGCACAGTGGCTCACATCTGCAATCACAGCACTTTGGGAGGCTCAGTCAGGAGGATTGCTTGATCCCAGAGTTTGAGACCAGCCTGGGCAACATAGCGAGACCCCCTCTTCACCAAAGGGGAAAAAATTAGCTGAGTATGGTGGCGCAAATCTATAGTCCTTGCTACCCAGGAGGCTGAGGCAAGAGGATTGCTTGAGTCCAGGATTTCAAGGCGCAGTGAGCTACAATCACACCACTGTGCTCCAGCTTGGGCAACAGAGTGAGACCCTGTCTCTAGAAACAGAACAAAACAAACAACTACCCCCTGTCAAGGAGTGGTTGGACTCCTGGATGAAAATACCACCAATACATACTTTAAGTCTAACCAGGAGAACACAAAACCTACAAATTGAGCACATCTGAACAATAAAGTCAGACCTTCCCATTTTGAGTTAGGGTGCATTTTTAAAAAGATGGCCAATGGCAGAAAGGCTCAGAAAGGAGGAAGAAGTGAGGAATAGAGAATTTGGATGTGGAAGTTGAGAAGTCATGTGATTCAGTGTCTTCTTAAAGGTCTCAGAGGCCACAGAAGGGAAGAGAGCCTGCCATGGCTGTGCTGTTCCCAGAGAAATTTTGATTTTAAATATCTTGGTAAGAAAATTAAATTCTACAGCCTTATAGGGGAGAAACGTTGGTGTAAGATTTTTTCATAAACAGAAAGGTTCTGTGAATTTTGGCAGTGCTCAAAGAAGGTATTCGAGACAACACTTGGTTTTATTTTACGCTTTTCAAAGATTTTGAACTGCATATGGATTCTTCTATTAAATAATCACTAATTGGATCTCTTTTCAGACCTACCATAGTTCAGGGTTGCGTTATTTCAATATGCAAGCTCACCCTCTGAAGGCTTCTCAATGGTGGCGCTATTGGCATTTTGGGTGGACTATCTTGTGTTAGGCAGGATAGTCCCATACCTCTCAAGACCATTTAGCATCCCTGGCCTGTGTCCATTAAATGTCACTTGTGTTCCCCACTTCCCAGTCATTGAAAAAACTTGAAAGCTCTCCATATATTTCCCGATGCCCTCCTCACCTTCAAAGATGTGCTACCATGCCAGATTGGTGAAAAACAAATGAACAGACAATTCCCAATGATTAGACATGGCCAAACCATGCAATAGGACCATGTGGGAGGTGGCTGTGGGGGGGTTGATTCCATGGCCCCTGCATGCTGTATATCTCTCTCACTAGAATGACAGTTTCAAAAATGAATCAGGATGGCTTAAGCGAAAGAAGAACTTATTGATTCCTACAGGCAGACAGGCCAGGGCTGAATTCAGAGCTCAAATGATGCCATCAGGTCTCAGTTTATCTCCATCTCTTGGCTCTCCCATCCTCTGTGTTAACTTTATTCTTGACCTTCCTATGGGGACCCTGGCAGCTCTAGACTTGCCCCACAGAGTGGCATGGCTACCAGCAGCTTTGGCTCAGATCTTTTGCTTCAAGTCCAGTGGGAAACTCTTGCAATGTTCTGAGTCCCAGTCTGACAGAATGAATTTATTTCAAGTTTATTTTACCTCTGAACCAGTTGGTGTGGCCAATACAACATGAAGCACTGACTAACTCAGGCTTAGGGGTTCTGACCACTCCAGCACATGGTGGCTTGCCCCACCCCAGGCCACACGGACTGAGGGTAGTGAAAGGAAGCCTACTCAAATAAAACCTCTGGAAAGAAAGGCTGTTAAGCCCTGATGTTAGGGGGACAATCAACAAATGTTCACTAGAGTCAGAAAATTGCTGGAATCTATAATAAAGATCAGTGAAACTCAAAGAGACATATCCTCTTTGGGGAGAAAGCAATATAATGCAAAATGCAGGTGCATCAAATCTTTCAGACTTCTTTGGCCACTTTTAAACATATTTGACAACCATGAGATTGAATAAAATATTTTCATACACAGGGCCCTGGTTTGGCATTCACAGGGAGTGGATATGAACTGATACTTCTCTGAATCAAGGAGTATTTACAATGAGATTCCTGAGAATAGGTTGTCTATATGTAAATAGGGCTAGTATACTAAGCTGAGGTCCTATGCATGAAACTATTTTATTAGTCCTCCCTCCCTAATTTCATGTTTTTTCACTGCTTGCTTGATGCTTTGGCAGAAAAACCAAAGTGACAGCTATATTAGGCAGGTCTGAGCCGTCATTCTTACCCATCATCAAACTAGGGCCTGGCCTAACTGACTCCTGCTGAAACAGGAGGCTCTGGGTTTACAAGGTCTTGATCCATTATTTGGGTGACTGCCCCACAACAGGCCAAAGACAGAAGTCATGGATGTCTGAGGGGCATTTTAAAAAAGGGTTTCAGAATTGGGCAACAGGGGCCTGAGAAGTCTCCTTTATCCATGGCTTACACTGCTTTGAGGGGGCCTTAGAGGAATACAATGTGTTCCTTCTTTAACTTGTAGTGCTGCTCTTCTTTGGACTTGATTTATGTACACAACAATAGAAGGTTTTATTTGAATATAACTTCTATGACTATAGCACAGTTTGTTATTTTGTTTTATCATTATTATTATTTTTTGAGACAGAGTCTCGCTCTGTTGCCCAGGCTGGAGTGCAGTGGCAAGATCTTGTCTCATTATAACCTCCGCCTCCTGGGTTCAAGTGGTTCTCCTCTCTCAGCCTCCCGAGTAGCTGGGACTCCAGGCGTGCGTGACCACGCCCAGCTTATAGTGCAGTTTGAAATCCACTTGTCTAACCAAACCCTTCATATTTCTGACAAAGCCCTGAGAAGAAGAGTCATTTCTTTAAGCCAGCCGGGAACATGAGTCTTCTAAACTTTGAGGCCCTCTTTGACAAGAGGAGAGAGGAGTAAACGAAACAATGACACTTATTTCTACCTATAATCTCCGTTGATCGACCTTTGTACTCCACGGTGAGTCTTGCAGCTAAGAGACGCAAATTAGACCTATTTGCACTCCTAGTGCGGTCAAGTGCAGTCAAGATCTCCTTCTCCTTGAGCATCAGGTGGTGTCTCCTGGCTGCTCTCCACATCTTTTATTCTGAGGATTTAGCTGGCTTGCCTCAGTCTTCAGGCCAGGCACTCCAAAGGCAATTTAGGGGACAAGTCTTGCTTGTTAGATACTGGGTCCCTTCAGCCTCAGTTGCTGTCTTGTGCCTCAGGGGTTCCTAAACTCGAAGTGGTGGCCCAGAGTTTCCTTCAGGTGCTATGACACTGATTTGAGAAAGAAACCTAAGTTTCAGCTGCCCACTGTTTCCCTCTGTGAGCAACTTGAGTCTGGTTCCACTCAGGATCCTCTGAGAACTTAGCTCAATACTTGTCCAATAGTAAACACTCCATAATGTTTGCCTGTTTGAATCTATAATCAAAATCTCCAGTAGGAGAAGGCCCTTGTATTTCTGTTTCATTTTTTTTGCTAGTTGGTGGGAGAACACACTTTTCAAAATACTAATAGTTCACCACCGGACAAGAGATACATACAACCCCAACTTCCAAGTAAATGGAAAATACCTTTTCTGGGTACGTTTATTTGGAAAGGGTTTCTTCACTTGAAGAAAGAATTAACAAACCCCTGTTTGGGAGGATAAAACAAGAAATTCCTTTGGGATGTCTCAAGTTTCTAGAGAGCCAGGCTCTCGCAGGCTGAGGTGGCTTCCACACTGTTCATGAACTGCTCTTGGCGGGCTGGTGGCCTGTTTGATATTCTGAGGTCTAGCAAAGATTTAGCTCCAGGGGGTCATCAAGAGGTCATGGTCTTGATCATTTCCTCTGTTATTTATCTTTGGCTTGTGGTACTGGAGCCTGCCTTTGATACAGGGCATTTCTACCACAGCTGCACAGAATCAAGCATTTCAGTGATTTGGTTTGAGGTGAAGGAGGCTTGGCTTCTAATGCTGCGAAAATGTCACTGGGTACATCTGAGAATATCTAGCTCTGTCCTTCACTGATGAGCAAATTCATTTCTGGGGGTTTACCAGTGGCACTTCCCAGACTTGGGTCAGGAAAGGAATCCTCCTGGTGAGGACAGCAGTTTTCAGTTTGAGTAATTCCATTTTCAGTTCCTTCTGAGACATTTTTCTTGCTCTGAGCTGGAGATAAAAGCAGCATGTCTCAGGCCTCTAGGGTGGATCTCTACTTTTCAACACTGTTTATGACTCACCTGTGACTGCCCTCAGTGCAGCCAAGGGGACCATTTATGCTGAATTAGCCTTTGGATTTTTCTTCTTAGTGACAGCAAAACTTCCGTGACAGCAAACAAGTAAACCACAGGAACATCCCTGGTCTGCTCAGCACAGCAGGCTCTTGGGTTCTCAGAGAGCCTGGGAGGACTTTTCAGCTTGTCTTATGTGGGTTTGTTCACCCCGTCCGGTTTCATTTTTATTTAAAACAATTGGTATCTTTCATCTTGGTTGCCAAGTATGGGTTGCATATGGTTTTGACCTGATATGAAGGGCCCAAATCAAATACCCAGGACTTGGCCTGGAAAATTGGTTGTATAAGACCTGCTCTCTTGTTCCCCTAAAAAGCAGCCTAGCAAATGGAAGCAATGGGTCCCAGGAGTTCGTTTCTGTATGCGGCTCTAACTCTGCCACGAAGGCCAGGACAGATAGTGTGCAGTGCTCTGTCATGTCTACCAGAGAAAATGATGCAACATGTGCTGGAGACTTTACCATCTGTGCAAGAGTGCAGCCCTAGGCTCAATCCAAAAGAAAAAGGAAGTGGCATTATAGCAGGGATATTCCCAGTGAGTCAAATTCCCAGAACAGCCTGTCCCTCCTCAAGGTGGTCAGTGTGCCCCAGCATCTCACCTCCAGATTTGGACTAAAACAGAACTGTTGCGTGCAGGGGTTAGAGAGGACTAGAGCAGTGATGTATTTTATATATCATATTTTCTAGCAATGGTTTTCCATCTGAAACCCAGTTTACATTGTGGCCCAGGGCACAGAAACAGAAGCTTTATGAAACAAGTTACTGTTTCCATGTGTCAGCATTCTAATTTTCCTTTCCTTTTCCTGTTCTTTTTTCTGTTATTTTAATTTTTTAAAAAAGCTTCTTGACTCACTAAATTACTATAACAAACCACTTATGAGTCAAAGCCCATATTTTGAAAAACAACATTGCATTAGTGTATACAGGCAGCACCTTGGGAACATTTATAGAATATGGATTCTTGGGTCCCTCTCCAGGGATTCTAATTCAGTCATTCCTGGGCCCAAGAATCTACGTTTTATGTTAACCTGACCTAAATGTGACCATTATGAGGGCAGGAAACGGTTTTGATCCCTAACATATCCCAAGTGCTTTACATGAAGAACTTGGTACAGCACAGGCTCTTGGTCATTGGTGGTTGAATAAATAAATGAATGAAAAAGTATTGATCTTCAAATGATTCCATCCTTCAACCCCAGCCGTGCCTCCCTTTGCATCTATACTGTTGTCTTCGTTTTTTTAAGATAGATACTCAAATAGTCTCTAGACCTTTGAATTGCAAAATTGCTTTGAATCTCCAAGTTGGAAGCTGCCTTGAAAGTCTCTAATCTAGGGATTCTCAGGTGTAGAAACTTTGTCTCGCTGCTTTAGAATTCCTTGGGGAAGTTTAAGGCAAATACATATCCCTAGACCCCAGCCCTGGAGTTTCAATCCAGGTAGATAGGGTTCATGGCCCAGGAATCTGCATTCTATCCTCCCTCGGGTGATGCTGTGGCCCAGCCAGGGTTGGGATGCACTGTTCTTGTGACCTCTCCCCACTGTGGATCACTGTGGATGGTGGTCACCCAGCCTCTGCTGGAAACATTTTGGGCTGGCAGAAAGAAACTCCCAGAGGTCTGCTCCACATTGAAAAGCTCTGCTTATTGGAAATTTCTTACTGATATTAGCTTCAATCACTTTCCTACTGCTGCTAGTCTTGGTTCTGCCCTCTGGAGCACCTCAACACAAGGCCAATTGGCTGCCTGACTGCTCATTGTGAAAATACAGAAAAAATATAAAGAAAGAAATGAAAATTTTTTAAAATCCCACCACCTTGAAGACATTGAATATTTCTTTTGGTCTTAATATATGTACACACATAAATGCATGTTATACTCACTTGATGTTTTTTAGAAATGACAAGCATCCTGTATTCTTGACTTAGCATTACATATTGTGGGTTTTCTCTTAACATTATATCACAAAAAATATCCCAGATAGAAAAATTTGCTTTAAACCCACATTTTAAAATGACTGCATTAAATTCCACTGTTTTGATCTATTAGAATTTATTCAGCCATTTCCTGTTAGTGTTGATTTAGGTTATTTCCAGTTTTCCACTATCATAACTAATGCTTAAATAAACATATTGCAAATAAACCATCGTCTGCATCCTGGATTATTTCTTTAAGCCAGACTCCTAGATGAAATTTATTGAGTTAGAAAACATGCTTTAAAAAACACTTGATACATATTGCCACTTACTATGCGAACAGGATGTGAAAGTTTTCACTTGTACCAGTCATTTTAATCCCTGATTAGAATTTAGTCATTCAAAAAAAAATGCCAAATTGATAGGTTAAAAAATTACGTTTCATTATAGTTTTTAATTTGTATACTTTTTGTTTACTCATAAGGCAGAACACGATTTTAAATATAAACACACATACATAAACATACATATGTACACATTTTGATTACTCATGAGGCAAAACATGTTCATATATATTTGTGTGTGTGTATTTTTTCCCATTTGTTTTGGCATTTCCCTTAAACAGGATGTTAAAAGATAAAGAAATAGATTTAGTCTATTTTTCTGCTAGAGAGAGGGGCCTCACACTTCTTGTTGATTTGCAAATGCCCTTCTCCTCTTTGTAAGTATAAGAAATATCAACTTCTTTATTTATTGTGGTAAATATACATAACATAAAAGTGATGATTTTAACCACATTTAAATGTGCAGTTCTGTGGCATTAAGTACATTCACACTGTTGAGCACCCATAACCATCATCCATCTCCAGAACTTTTTACCTTCCCAAACTAAAACTCTGACCCACTAAACACTCACTCTCCATTGCCCTCTTCTCCCAGCCCTTGGCAACCACCATTCTATTTTCTGTCTCTGTGAAACTGACTGCTCTAGATTCCTCATATAAGTAGAATTATGTAATATTATTTTTTGTGATAGGCTTATTCCACTTTGCATAATGACTTTAAGCTTCATCCATATTGCAGCATGTCAGAATTTCCTTCCCTTTTAAGGCTAAACAATAGCCCATTGTATGTTTATACCACATTTTATTTATCTATTCATCTATCCATGGACACTGGGTTGCTTCCACCTTTTGGCTGTTGTGAATAAAGCCGCTGTGAACATTGGTGTACAAATGTTCGTTCAAGTCCCTACTTTCACTTCTTTTGGATAGATATCCAGATGTGGAACTGCAGATCATACAGCAATTCTATATTTCATTTCTAAAGAAATTGCCGTATCATTTTCCATAGTAGCTACATCATTTTACATTCCCACCGGCACTGCACAAGGGAATCCAATATCTCCACATCCTTGCCAACATTTATCTTCTGTTTTGCTTCTAAATAATAGCTATCCTAAAGGCTGTGAAGTGGTATCCTTAAAAAAAAAAATCAAATAAAACCTGACTGTGTGCTCCAATTTCCAGGAAGTCAGATGGGAAATCCAATCGCCATCATCCAGGGGCTCTTCGCACATCCTAGAATCACACCAGCACTTGGTACCTGAAAATCAAAGGAATATCCTTCAACCCCAGTGCCACCCAACACAATGGCCTCTGACACCTTGTCTACACTAATAGTGGTTCTTTGCTTTCACGGAACATATATAGACCTGGAATGGGGAGGGTTCTGGCTCTATAGGTGGTCTTGCTAACTTTTTGAGGAGCTGCCACCAAGCAGGACCCCCCATTTTACATTCTTTATCCTAACCTTGTCCCACTTATTTCAGTTATAAAAAATTCTATCAGTTGGCTTTAAAATACTCTTCATAATTGTTATCTTCTATTAATCTTCAAATTATTATTTAAAACATATAGAATATATAAAAAATTAACATATTCCTTTGAATGCAGGTCTCAGTTTTAATACATTTTAACATTTTGCCTTATAAAAACTCTTGCACAAGGGTAAAAAGAGAAATGTGCAAACATATTTATTGCAACAATGTTGCAACAGTAAAAATTTAGAGCAACCTGATGTCTATCAGTAGGGAAATGGACAAATAAATTGTGATATATTCATAAAATGGAAGAGTGTACAGTAGTAAAAATCAACGAAATATATCTATGTATATCGACATGGAAAAATACTAAAAATACAACCCTGGGGGAATAAAGTTCTAAATACATACAATATGCTGTAAAATTAAAAACGCACAGAACATTACCATAATTTATGGATACATACATATGGTATCAAAGTAGGAAAATATGGTGGTGTTACTACAATTAAAAAGACATGTAAGTTGGGCACAATGGCTCACATCTGTAATCCTAGCACTTTGGGAGGCTGAGGCAAGAAGATCACTTGACGGCAGGAGTTTGAGTCTTACTTGGGCAACATAGTAATACCTCATTAGAACAACAACAAAAAAATTAGCCTAATGTAGGGGTGTGTGCCTGTAGTCCCAGCTATTCGGGAGGCTGAGGCAGGAGGATCCCTTGAGCCCAGGAATTTGAGGCTGCTGTGAGCCATGATCAGGCCACTATACTCCAGCTTAGGTGACAGAGCAAGACACTGTCTCTAAAAATAACAAAACAAAACAAAAACATGCGAATAATAAAAAACAAAAAATAAAACAGATGGACTTTAGTCCTATCTGTATCATTTTTAACTCTTAAAAAATTGAGCTAAAATTTTAACTTTTGTTGTTTTCTCTACATTAAGGACATACTTTTATTATAAATTGTTGTATATGTATTTTTCTTAACTGGTCTGTAATCTTTTAGTTTTGTTTTCTAAGAGTTTTAAAATATAATCAAGTAGACCAATTTGTATTTTTATGATTTCTTTTGTTAATTTCTAGAACTTCTTTTGCAACCTAGAAATAGGTTAAACATTTATCTATATTCTCCTCTATATGGTTTTGGGGGAGGCATGTATTATATATTTGTTTATATTTATCCCTTTAATCCATCTGGAAATTATAGTAATATACGGTAGAATCACATTTGATTTTTTTCTAAAACTAAATACCTTGCTAATTTTCCTCAAATTATTTGTTAAATAATTATTGCTTTCTCATTGGTTTTGTATTGATTCAGTTATCACATTAAAGGGCTATTTTATAGTTATTATTTCCACTGATTTGTATCAATTCCTGAATCAACAGTAAACTGCTTATTTATCTAATTTTATCGTATGTCATAATAGCAGATGAAAGTGCCATTTTGCAGGAAGGTACTTACTACCTTCTTGCTCAAACTTGTTAGTTATTTTTACCTGTTAATTTGTTTCCAGATGGACTTAAAATTATTTTTTCAGGTTAACGAAATCCCACTGTGATTTTGTGCAACCTATAAATTAATCAGGGGATAATGGAAAAAATTCATAATATTTGCAATTTCCCTCTAGGGACATGGTATATCCTCCCTTGTTCAAATGTTTCAAAATGTCACTCCATAAAATTTTGGAAATATTTCCTTGCATAAATTCTGGATCCTAACGATAGTCCTTTGTTGATTATAAACCATGCTACTATAAAGACACATGCACACGTATGTTTACTGTGGCACTATTCACAATAGCAAAGACTTGGAACCAACCCAAATGTCCATCAATGATAGACTGGATTAAGAAAATGTGGCACATATACACTATGGAATATTATGCAGCCATAAAAAAGGGTAAGTTCATGTCCTTTGCAGGGACATGGATGAAGCTGGAAACCATCATTCTCAGAAACTATCACAAGGACAGAAAACCAAACACTGCATGTTCTCACTCATAGGTGGGAATTGAACAATAAGAACACTTGGACACAGGGCGGGGAGCATTGCAAACCAGGGTGCCTGCCGGGGAGGTGGGGGGTTGGGGGAGGGATAGCATTGGGAGAAATGCCTAATGTGGATGACGAGTTGATGGGTGCAGCAAACCAACATGGCACATGTATACCTATGTAACAAATCTGCACGTTGTGCACAGGTACCCTAGAACTTAAAGTATAATAAAAGAAAAAAAAAGATAGTCCTTTGCATTCCATTTTTTGTTAACAACATTATATATAAGATACATTTGCTTTGATTATTTTGGCATACAGAAGAGTTATTGACCTTTGAATGTTTGTAATTCAGCCACTCTACTTATTTCTCATCAATCTAAAAGTTGGTGCACCTGAGTTTTCTAGGAGTATAATCATATTAACACAATTTGTAACCACTTTGCCTTCTGTTTCCCAACATTCACACCCCTTAAATATTTTCCATGCCTTAATGCATACCCTAGAAATTTTAGAACATTGATGTAAGAATCTTTGACTTCTCCCTAATTTAATATAGATGGTTCTAGTGATTTATTCTTAATTTAATGTTTTTTATAGTTTTAAAATAGAAGTCCTTATTCCTTTAAGGTAGTATCCCGTTTCTAAATTTATCATGTTTTAGCAGCAATGTATATTAAAGTTTGCCAAATTTAACTTTTCACAAATTTTAGCAGATTTGTCAAAAATTTTCAGCATCTGTTGAAATAATTATAAAGTTTTTATTGTTTCAACTATTAACATTTCTTAGTATGAATAGTTAAAATGGTTTATTTAGTGAGTGGGTTTCCTGATTTTAGGCACATAATGAATGGGTTTCCTGCTTCTAGGCACATTCTTGTAGCTCTTTCCTATAATATAGAGCTAATTGGTTAGAGTGCTGTTCAGCCATAATGGTCAACATCTCAATTTCTCAATTAGGTGATGCTTGCCAATTTTTTTTTTCTCCACAACGGTCTCTGTATCACTAACATTCAGTTTTCTGACAGTCTTTTGGTTCACAGAAAATAGTTTTGATTATTTTCCGAAGGATAAATAAACATGGCTTATTGTAATGGTTAAAATATATGGTGCAAGTTTGAGGTTGGCAACTGTCTTGCAGAAGTGGGTGCAACTAACTCTAGGCCTAACTCTTGCCACCTTTAGAGCAATTCAATTTAAAAAGTATCGAAAAAATAAGAATGTCAGTCAATAAACCCTGCTTACATGTCATTGGTAGGTGATAAAATCACAATAACAGAATACACTGCTACAGAAGCTATGTTGATTGTTTGCACAAGGACAGCACCATTCCCCTCCCCTCTCCCACGCTAGCACACACATGTGCATACACAACATACCAACTACATAGAGATGGCCCATTTTAAGTACCATATTTCTAATGGTAGAGCAACTCTCCCGCCTTCCCCCAACCTCTTCCAAAATATAATGGGATGTAGTATAAAGTAAAGACTTTCTGAAATCACCTAATGACTTTGAATAGAAACCACATAAAGCAAATATAGATACTATTGTAATTATTGCCTCTGTTAAGGATGAGGTTAGTACATTTTTGTTCTGTGAGATAATTCTGTGTCAGCAAGATTTTCCTTTGGTACTTACTAATATTAGAATAAAAAAAGTTAATTAGTTAAGTTCATTCATTCATTCTTTGGATCAACAGATATTTACTGAGTAACTCCTATGTGCCAGGTCCCACTTTTGTGGCTATTGCAATTTTGGCAGAAAGCAGATATTGAACAAGTAAGTACACATGGGGTAAGTATCACAAGAGTGGGGAGGCTAGATCGGCTGGGGGAGAACACAGTGCCATGCAAGGTCTCTGAAAGAGCACAGCCACAAACCACAGACAGCATTTATTCATTCAAGAGTCAGTAAGAATTTTTGAAGAGGCCTACCTTAAGGTGGCACTTAAATACAGTCACCAGTGAGTTCTACAAATACTGAAGTGGCTTCCTAGCTAGATCTAAAGCTACCTATAGATGTAGTGACGGCTATCAAAGGGGATTATTTTCCTAAATCATATTTTACTATTATAATAGTAATAATAATGGCCAGCATTTATGGAGTGTTTTCTCTACGCAGGACACAATGCTTACACTTTGCATGTACATACTATAACCCTCAGAATAATCCTACAGTAGGTAAAATTGTATCCACATTTCATAGACGAGGGCCCTGCGGCTCGAGACAGAGACAAAGGAATTGGACCAAGATCATACATCTAGTAAGTGGCATATTCAGGATGTCACCGACCCCACCAGGAATTGAGCTGTTTAAAATGAAGGCCAGGGACAGGAAATGAATCTGCATACTTAGCCAAACACTTAGGAGTGTGAAATAACTCACTCCTAGTTTTCACAGTGTTTCGGAGATTCACTAATCTTCAGCAGAATCCAATCCAAGCGTGCAATTCTTTGCATTCAGCACATATGGTTGCTAAGAAAAAAGACAACGTTCTTGCAGAGAATGCTTCTATTTTATACCATCACTACTCCTGGTAATGACCTTTCCTAGTGTCTTTCCAAGGACTACATTAGAGCAAACCACCTTTTCCCCAGGTAAGCTGTCTACTTACTCACTGTAGTTGGAAAACAGAAAGTGGCCCAGAGCTGGTCACCAGGAGACACTGACTGCTATTCTGTCTCATGGTTTTGAAGCAACCTAGAGCTTTTAAGCTTCTGGGTTTCACCATGTTTTGCTGTCTATCCACTAACTCTCCTTATCATCAATTCTCCTGTGTCCTATGTGACTACAGAGGAAATTGGCCTTCACAGAGGCCTCAGAGGCACCGGGTTAAACTCTTCCTCCCCTCTCCTCTCCTCCTCCCCCCTTTATGATCAACATCATCATTGTTATTATTTACTAAGTACTTACTATGTGTTCAGCACTCTCTTAAGGTTTTATATGAACGTAAGCCTCACAACAATCTTATGAGGTAGCTATCAATAACTCATTTTGCCGATGACAAAGGAAGCTAAGTGAGATTGTTTAACTGCATCAAGGTCACACAATGAGGGGCAAACTTTAGATTAAAGCGCAGATCTAACTGCAGATGATGTGTTCTTAACTGCAAAGTTATAGGCTTGCCTTAAGGGATTTACAACGTGGCATAGGATCAAGGAACAATGGACCAGACGTGTGGATCAAAGATAAGATCATATTTACGTAAAGTGATAGGTTTAAGATTTAGAGGTTCTCCTTGGACCCCTGAGTGTCTACAGACAGATGTGTGGGGGGAGGGGTTGAACCTAAAACAGGGGTCAGTAAACATTTTCTTAAAGGACTACATAGTAACTATTTTAGATTTTGCAGGCCATATGGTCTCTGTCAAAAACACTTATCTCTACTGCTGTAGTGCAAAACAGTCACAGGTAATACACAAATGAATGGGTGAGGCTGTGTTCCAATAAAACTTTATTTACAAAAACAAGCAGCTGGTCAGCAGGCATTAAATGGTATGCAAATTCTATGTGCTCATATGCATAGTTGTCTTTGTTGTTGTTATTAGGAGATCCATAGCTTTCTATAGCTTCTTAAACAGGTTCAAAATCCAAGATGGTTAAGAACTGGTCTAAATGGTTTCCAAACCTCTCTAAGCTTAGATATTCCACAGGGTTCCATAATTCAACCAGCCTTTTACATTAACAACCCCTTAGAGATTCCTTCTCCTTAGCAGGCTCTTTTGTGGGATTCTGCTGTGAACTGTTGAGTGGACAATAATTACTGTCTATTGAGAAGGAAACGTGAGTCATACTACCATTCTACCTTCCTTGGTTTACCTGGTCAGATGATACTGGCTAAAACACAAATATATTCCAGACTGAAATACAGCAGTTTGGTCCTGCACCAGATCATCTGATGTTTGCTGAGACTTTTTTCTCCTGCCACAGACCTCTTTCTCTGTTCTGCTGAGCTTTCTGCACAGTAAGAACTTATTTGTGCTGAGCACACTAATATGCAGTTTGGATTCTGAAGTCAGCCAGGTCAACCCAGGTATGGTGTGGAGGGGAGGGATATTGCTGGATGTATTTGACTGAGGCGTCTCTGTATTTGTTCAGGGATCCTTTCTCCCCAAAGGAAACATTTCTCTTAGGACTCCCTAGCTTCACGAATTAGAGCATCTTATTCACTGCCTGTGACCTTGTCAACATGTACCTCTACTCTGTCTCCCACTCCAGGGGTCTTGTCTTCTCCTAAGTAGAATCTCTGGGTGGGGATTGCTGATTATATTCCATTGTGTACACTACGCAGCCTGGTCCCAGGCTTTGCACACGTGTGACAGGAAGAGTAAAGAATTGGTGTAAAGAAACCATACAAGTCATGTTTTAGTTTATTAGCACTGAGATCCCTGAAAGCTATGGCCAGTTTTAAATTCTTGCATCACTTTCGAAAATCAACATAAGGGTTGTCCAATCAACTTGAATAACAAACAGGATCATCCCTCTGGGATGGCTTCCAGCTTTACATTTTAAGAACAGCCACAACAAAACCCTGATATATTAAAACCTGGAAGTACAAATACTATGAATCATAAGGTGATTGCATTCATATTCCCGGTTTTTCTGAGAATGTAGAATTAGGCATAGGAGAAGAGGCAGGAAAAAAAATAGAAGGGGAGGAAGAAATGGCAGAAACTGGAAGAAAAGAAGAGAGCAAAACAAGGGGAACAAAGAAACAAAGAGGAATCAGATGGAAAGGATGAACGCACGGTGAGTCTGTACTGTAACCAGCTACAGCTGGGTTGAAATTCAGTGTCATTAGCATGCAGCTATTTCTCACAGCAAGTACCCCCCAAAGAAGGAAATAAACCAGCAAATGAAAGTAACAGGAGTATGAATCACTTAGCCAGTACTTACAGAGACTTTATCCCATATTAGACTCCTGTATATATCACATCAGGATTAGTGTTAACTCTCTGAAATGAAACATCAATAAGAAGACCACATGATGCGGACTGTACCCCCAACTAATATTTCAGTTCAGTTTTAATTAGCATGTTCATCTGGCAGCAGCATGGTGCCTGTAAATAGAAACGGGTCATGAGGGGCTTGGGCTCTTGTCCTGGAATAACATTACGTGACCCTGGTTGGCCAAGATCTGTGCCTTGGTTTCCTCACTTGTTAAATGTAAATAAGAATTCTCTGCTCTGCTTATTTCACAGAGGTGTTAGGAGGATGAAAAGTGAAAATACACACACACACACACACACACACACACACACACACACACACACACACGCTTGGATGAGTATAAAATGCCAGAAAAATGTAAAATTGACCCTGTTCTCTTCAGTTAACAAGGTAGTGGGTAGGCGGGGGGTGGGGACCATGGCATTTTGCACAGAAGGCTTGATGACTCAACGAAGTGTCTTCCTCCCCGCCCTCCCCCCAGTAATATCTGGTCTGGGATTACTGCTGCTTTCTTGATGTTTTTAGACATACTCTTCTCCTTCAGAAATGCCAAAGGTGAAAAATACTATTTCACTGCTATAATTTGTCACCCTTGCTGCCTGAGCAAGACGTGCATAGACAGTTTAGTAATTAAGCTTTTCAACACTGCATCATAAAGTTTTATTCTGGCAAAGGCTATATTTATCAGCTAACAAGTATTAAATCACCCCACTGCTCAAGCCGTTTCTCACTTGAATACGCTCCTTTCAAAACAGAACAGCTTTCCTTGGCTGGCTTGATTAATAAAAGTTCTTGTTTGGAAATACTGTGATGATGTGTGGCCCCGTGGGGCTAACATACATACACCTTGGCCACTGTTCTACCTGGTGCTGACTCCCATCTCCCAGGGGAGTTTGATATCTTAGCCTTGTGTCTCTCAGAGCATCCTGGCCAGCTGAATTTTATGGCCGTCTGGGATGGCTTCCAGGAGGAGATATTTCTACCATTTCATTTCTAATGGGGAAGAATTGAAAGAAAATCTAAATGTAAAATAAGTTTTCAAAATAATTAAAATAGCAAAGTAACAATGATCTACATATCAAGTAGGGTTTTTCCTCATATTGCCATAGTCTTATAAAAACAGATGCAGAGTTAGAAAGAATAGATATTAAAAGTCATTAGTAATGGCTTAGAGGAGTACGGTCTCCAAGCAACCCATCCCAGCTTTACAAATTCCCTCCCCCTCCTTTGGAGGACATAAATTCATAAAACAAATATAGCATTGTTTTTAAAGGTTCAGGGTGCTTTCAGTCAAATGGCTCCTGAATTATATTTGTTAAAAACAAAATAGTTAATTTGAATGACCTTTCTACCATATTTTAAGGGTAAATATGGTAGAATATGGATAAAGAAAATGTGGTACATACATAGCATGGAATATGATGCACCCATAAAAAAGAATGAGATCATGTCCTTGGCAGGAACATGGATGGAGCTGGAGGCCATTATCTTTAACAAACTAATGAGGGAACAGAAAACCAAATACCACAGGTTCTCACTAACAAGAGGGAGCTAAATGATAAGAACATATGGACACATACAGGGGACAACAGAAAGTGGGGCCTACCTGAGAGTAGAGGGTGGGAGGGAGGAGAGGATCAGGAAAAATAACTAATGGGTACTAGGCTTAACTCCTGGGTGACAAAATAATCCGTACAACAAATCTCTGTCACACAAGTTTACCTATATAACAAACCTGTATATGTATCCCTACATTTAAAATTTAAAAAATATAAATAAAGACAAATGTTAGTCAAATATGGGCGAAAATAACAAAAAATCACTATTTTTCATCATTTTATAGAGACTACAAATTTCCTTCTTCCTCCCTCTGCTTTCAAAATAAGTGACATTAACCACATGTTGGCATTTAAGTTTTTCACCAATTTATTGCTAAGAGGAAACATATAATAATATGCTATAGGGTCATAAAACCCACTTTGCAGCTATAGAAGCAAGTTCTGCCTGTGCCTGTGTATGTGTATGTATGACAGTGGACATGTAAGTGTGAAACTTTAAACACTATTACAGTAAGAAGTCTTTTGTTGAACTTTTGTTAGTTTGAGAGGCTGCAATGATTTTTCTCCTTTCAAAATGCTGAAATAGAACTCATCATTTTGCTTTTCAAATTAGCAACAGGTAGCTGGTTTGGAAGGCTGGAGATTGATTTCTCTCCAGCTAGCAAGTCGTGGGGTCAGGTCACTGAAGCATGTGGGTGATATGCTGAACCACCAACTTGGCAAATATTGAACTATTTTAAGTGCATCTATTTTCTGGTTCAGTAAATTTTTTGTTGTGTTAAATTCATTAAACTCGACACAGTCTAAATGCCACAGCACATACTGGAGAACCCATAAAGTAACAGCAACAGCTATAAAATATAGCAAAAGGTAAGGATCGATATACTTTCTCTCTGTTTCTATTTAATTTTTATCTTTCATATTAGGACTGGAATTTGTTTGAAAGTTAAAAAGTACTGTGTGGCTGGGAAAATCATGTGGAATCTTATACTTTCTGAAAATCTGAAGGAAGGTCTCTTTATCAGTCAAGTTGCCCTCCACACTAAGATGATGACATATATGACCTACAATTCAGGATCACTTAATAACTTGGGGGATAAATGAGAAATAAGAATTACACTCTGTTACCTACATTTTGGAAAAATCTTGTTTTGTATAATTTGCAAAAATATTGATTCAAGGACACATCCGAAGACTTAAGATGGGGCTTTGATAATGTGATTATTCTTTATTCAGAATTGAAATTTTCATAAGGATAATCAAGTTTTTGGCACACAAACTGTTATTGTGATTTAATGTAATTTTTTTGAGAGAGTCGTTTGTTATTTTTTAAGTACCACTTTTCCTCCAACAAGGAGTAGTCATAGCAATTCAGAAAAGTAGGGAAGGTGCAAGGTGTGAGGAATTTCCATTCTAGCATGGGTTGTAACTATCAAAATTACAAAATTGATTTTATACTCCACATGAAAAATGATAATAAGTGAAGAACAATTTTCCAGTAATTTTTCTTAGCAAAATAGAAAACAAAATAATCAATAACAGAAAATTGTGAAAATAAAAACCCAATACACATGTAGAGAATAAGGATATAGGCACTAAATATAATTCTTTAAAGCTTCCAGAACACATAGGGCAGAAGTGATGCAGCCATCAAAGTTGGACTGAGTAAATCCATCCCCTCCACATGCAAGGAAAGGTTTGTGATGCAGAGTCATTTGGCCAGGACAGTTGGCAGCAGCATTTGTAACCTGAAAAAGTAAAAAGAGGATTGCAATTGACATTCTGTGCTCTATTGTGCTGTCATGGCAACACCCACCTGGAAAAGGTTAGTCTACCTGGAGAAATCAAGATTTCTCACAAGAAGCACCAAACAAACAAAAAAAATGCACACACAAGAAACAAAAAACAAACCAAGACTCACTAAACGCCCCTCAACCCCAGTTCAAGTGTTTATATTTATATTCTTAAATGTTTAAATTTTCAGTTATTAGATAAGGTAATCAGAAGTGGGCTGAACTTCAAAATTAGTAGGGGCTATAGTCTGAAGGTTTATCCCCCTGAAATTCATATGTTGAAGTCCTAACCCCCGAGGTGATGATATTAGAAGGTGGGGCATTTTGGGAGGTGATTAGATCATGGGCAAACTCCTCATGAATGGAATCAGCTCCTTATAAAACAGGCCCAAGGAAGCTTGTTGGTCCTTTCCACCATGTGAGGACACAGCCAGAGGTGCCATCTATGAGAATGAGGGCTCTCACCAGACACTGGATCTGCCAGTGCCTTGATCTTGCTCTTCCCAGACCCCAGAACTGCCAGAAAGAAATTTCTGTTTATCAGCCACCCACTCTATGGTATTTTGCTATAGCAGCCCAAATTGACCAATACATCCTTCTTCAGTTTCTCTCCACTACTCCTCATCCCATGGTTCCTTCTTCCTCACATATTTCCTGAGCGCTGTTCTGGCCCAGGCTCCATGCTGAACATTGGAGCAGGAGAATTTTAAAATTTCACAACCTTGTCCTTAAGGAAATTTCAGTCCTGAGAGTAGACTGACCCCAAAGCAGTCTTTTTAAACAGCTTTTTATTTTCATATCTGAAAGTATGAAAAAAGACACAGAGATTGTTTTTCTGGAGAAAATATTCTCAAAATTTGGATGGATGATGGCTAATAAGCATTTGCAGTAAGGAGAATGAGTGGGAGGTGAATGTAGTTATGTTGGACACTGAGATGATTTGGCCACTGAAACACCAAAAACCCTCTAAAAAACCAGAATATGAAAACTTGTTGTAATGGCCATCTCACTTGGGACTGCTTCACTGTACAACTTCAGGGGGCTCCATTCACCTGGATGACAATATGACAGTTCTAGTCTCTCTTATACAGTGTTTTCATGGATAGTAATAGAGTAAGGCCCATGAGGATTTACTCATTTAAAAATCAGGAAAAAAAAATCAAGAAATGTAATAAATTCTATTTAAATTATGGTTCTGAGATCTTTGTTCTAGATAGGCTGAGTCAGTATATTCCCTTACAGTTTTTTTTTTTCTTCTAGAGATAGGGTCTTGCTCTGTTGCCCAGGCTGAAGTGCCATGGCATGATCATAGCTCACTGCACTCTTGAACTCCTAGGCCAAGAGATTCTCCTGCCTTAGCTTCCTGGTAGCTAGGACTGTAAGTGCACACCACCATGCCTGACTAATTAAAAAAAAATTTAGAGATGGGGTCTCACTATGTTGCCCAGGCTGGTCTTGAACTCCTGGCCTCAAGCTATTCTCCTGTCTTGGCTTCCCAAAGTGTTGGGATTACAGGCATAAGCCACCATGCCTGGCTTACAGAGCCTGCAGTTTTCTTAAAGCAGAAAAAGTTTGCCATAGATATTTTTTATTTATATGTTATATTTGCTTTTTTAAAAGAGATGGTACTATTATTTCCCTGTTGAACCTCTAAAGACATGGGCCTCTGTAGACCTGTGTCACTGAGATACAAAAGTGAAATATTAAGAGTATCCTCTCATGTTTCTGGAGGTCTCTTACAGCAACATCATCTATCACAAACATAGCTGATAATCTTGAAATCAGCAGACAAGATCTTTGAGTGGCTAAAAGAGGCAGCACATAGTGCAGTCACTGAAGCACAGACTTGGGTGATCAATTAGAGCTTTTAACCTGCTTTAGATAGAATGTTATCAAGTTGGATTATTTAATTTGTCAGTAAAACACTACAGGAAGAAGAAAACGGCTAGGATTCTAGATATTAGTGATTTCAGAATGTGATAACCAATAGTCTAATAGCAAGGGATATGTATTAGTTCATTCTCACACTGCTATTAAGAACTTCCCTGAGACTGGGTAATTTATAAAGAAAAGAGGTTTAATTGACTCACAGTTCCAAATGGCTGAGGAGGCCTCGAGAAACTTATAATCATGGCAGAAGGAAAGCAGGCACGTCTTACATGGCAGCAGGCAAGAGAGAGAGAGCATGTGAAGGAGGAACTGTCAAACACTTACAAAACCATCAGATCTCATGAAAACTCACTCACTATCATGAGCACAGAATAGCGGAAACTGCCAACATGATCCAATCACCTCCCACCAGGTACCTCCCTCAACACATGGGAATTATGGGGATTACAGTTCAAGATGAGACTTGGATGGGGACACAGAGCCAAACCATATTGGGATGCTATATAAAAACTCAAAACCCAGACAAGACTGGGAAGAATCCTGGCAGACTGGGGCAATTAAATGGAGAGGCAAATAACTTTCTGGCTCTTAATAGGAGCTGAGGGCATCAGTTATTAGTTGTCCTACAATCATTAATGTTCACCATGATGGCCCCAGCTTTCAAGAAGCAATTCTAATATGCATAAAATATTCATTGCTAGCATTTCTTGAATGTCCACTGCCTATCAAATGCTGTATATGCACACCCCATTTAATTCACATAGCAACCCTATGAGGTGGTTACTATTGTTCTTATTTTATACATAAGAAAGTTGAGGCTCAGAAAGATTACTACTTGCCCAAAGACGGAAAGTCAGTAGATAAAGAAACAGGGATTCGAACATAGCAGGCTGACTCCAGAACTTACATTTCCAGCACTTTCAGAAATATTTCCATAAAGACTCGATGAAGTAAAACAAAACAAAAATTTTTGATTAGTCACTTAGCTTTAGGCATCTGGAAAATTCACATCAATAGAATAAAGCATTCACACATATTCATATCTATACATATATGTGTGTGTCTATGTATAATTTGCATATACATAAATCTCCATTTGTGGTAAAATTTTGATACATTCCTGTTGACATCCCTGTATAGATAAACTGTGGCACTATTAAACATTGCACAAGTATTAACCAGGAAGGAGTTTAAGGAAAAAGGTTTTGCCCAGTCATGAGGTGGTAATTTATTGGTGCTGTGTAATTTAATTTGATGAGTGGTAAATGCCAGATGCCAGATCACATGGCTGGAAAACTGGGCCACTGATTAGCCAGTCGGCAGTTTGGATGAAATCAATCTCACTGCATTTAGGTGGAATCACCCATTTTGCAATTACCCAATGAGGAAAATATGAAAACATGGAGCATGTATTGGCAAGCTCCTTCACCCATGTAAAGTAAGAGCCCTGCAGTGGAGGAGCACGTAATTGTCAAAGCCACAATCTCACAATAATGCAGCCTTTGGCTATGCTTTCAGCCACAGTGAGGAACCACAGCTCAATGACTGTGTTTAAGAGAGATGTCAGGGCTGAAACAACCCCTTGCAAATCCAGGTTGCTTTGGCTCACATGTGTGCCAGGGCTGGTCAGAAAGAACTCTTGCCTGCTCTAGAGTAGCAAATGCAATGTTTCTATAAACTTAGGCGATAACTGGACTGGGTATATAAATAAAGCTGAAGAAGTGGTTTTATTTCTAAGCAATTTAAACCCATGTCAATGTGTTTTGTTATATAAAATGCAAACGCCAAAGCCCCTCATGGAGAGCTCTTCATAACCAGGATCTTACTTCCATTAAAATCTCACCTCGTGCCACTTCTCTCACCTTTGTCACCCTTGTCCTTGCCACTTCTCTCGCCTTTGTCCTATCTATATTCAAACTCAGGTTCTTTTTCTTGTACTTCTGTGGCTTGGAACAAACCATTTTGCTGGGTGATGTTGCATTATTCCTCCTCTTTGCTGACAAGTAAATTGCTCATCCTTCAAGACTCAGTATAAACATCACCTGCTCTGAGGCATTGTTGCTCAGCCAGGCAAGGTCAATGCCTTTTCAGCATGTTATTTCTATCTATTATATTACTTGCTATTTTGCACTGTAATGATGTCCATGCCTGTCTCCTCTCCTCCTAGACTGCAAGCTTCTAAGAATAGGGACTCTGACTCACTGATCTTTGTATCCAAGGCTGAGAACAGTGCCTGGACCATATGAAAGTGTGCAATAAATGTTTATTGTGTTAAAAAAAGATATTGTACACAGTTGATCAAATGAAGTTCTTGACAGAAAACCTACACAAAAAGTATTATTCAGAGGCTCCCCATATAGCTGAGGAGAAGCTCAAATGGAGGAACTATTGTATTTAGAAGACTCTTAATAATGATGAATGAAGGGGTGTCCTCTGGCCTCAGACTGTGCACTGCTTTAATGACTGTCTCCTGTCATGTATTAAGTTGAACCACATAAACTTGCTGATTCCGTCGGTCAAAAATGGGAAAATATTGTCAATTTGTATATGGTTCAGCCTAATAGTTTCTTTGCATCATGATTACTAATTGTAAAAGTTCACACAAAAAAGTGCTTTTGGTGTGAAAATGAAATTAAAGATGAAAGGAAAGAGGTAGGCAGACAAGTAGGCTGAGTATTTTCACAAAATGATAGTTGATTATTTGCAAAATAATTCAAATAATGTCCATTCTTCCTTTCATATCTATGCTAAAGCTACAGTGCGTCCCTGGACTAGGAGACATTTCCCCATAGAGAACAGTCATTTGTCTGGCCTATAGAGTGGCTTTATTTTAGGCTGACCTATTCAGCCATCCAGCCCATAATTTGGTTACTTAAACAAACCTTTCTGAAACATGGCAACAGGTGACATTCAAGTGGGTAGGCAAGAATTAAGGTTTTATAAATTCTAATTCTAGATATGAAACTAATGTGATCAGGGAGACTGGACAATGAATAATCAAGTTTTTCCTGCTACATTTCCTCACTTACACCATGAATGCAAATTATGCCACATTTCATTGAATCTAAGGCACCATAAAACACAACAATATTTTATGTACCAATGAGAAAGAAAAAATGGTGTCAACATGACACAAAACTTTATTTTATACTTAATAGAAAAGTTCTTTCAGATTTATCTACATGTATCTTTTGCAAACATAAAAAGGAAATAAAAGAGAAATACATTGGTGAAGCCATTCTAAAGGCTCGCATTTAGAGATGGACTTCTCCGAACCACTCTTTAACTCAGACATGCTGATGTCTGATATCCATGCACTTCCTATGCAGTCTGTCCTCTGTGCTGTCTAAAACACTGGCAATGTGGCATTTCTTACAAGGATGTTCCACTGAATTATTTTTTCTTGGGTTTTCTTCTGAGCTGCTGACACTGTTCTCCAAGTATGGATTATGCTTTTTTCTCTTCACTGGGAAAGAAAGGTTTTCAGACAGCAACTAGACCTCATATTCTTTCCTCAAATTGTTCTTAAGTAATTTGTTAGTTTAAATATCAAGAAGTTACAGCTGCCCACTCCAAGAGCACCAGAAATAACCAAGTTCACACATGTGAAAACTACATCTTGACTATCTCCTGGTGTATACTGATGGAGTGGCATCTTATAGTTGAAGAAATATGGCAAGTACTAAGTAAGGTGAGGGGAGAGGGACAGTAAATACTCTACAGTTTCTCAATGCATGACAAGTCAAAAGATAATGAATGGTAGGATCCTTTAAGCGGTGCTTTTTCAGTTAAGTAGCATTGTTGCTGTTAGGACTTCTAATGTCTTTAGCATTGCTGGTTTAAACACTCCACTTTCTCAGCTCACCCAAATGAGCAGCGTCAGGTGAAACTGACAGAGATATACTGGTTATCTAAGAATCCATTTGTTCATTTTCAAAGGAAGGTAAATGTACCAATTCCAGAACCAAGTCTGGTTGTCTTCCCAGATCATTCATCTTGCTGGGCAAATTTCCCCAACTGTATCACAGATTATGGGGGTGACACAGGTGCAGCAACTCCTGACAGACATCACTAATCAATTGTGGCATTCTTTCCAGGAAGCCCAACAGGGCCTCAGCATCCTTCTCTCTTCCGTGCCTCAGGCAGCCACCACCAGTCAATTGGAGTTGGCATTTGAGAGGAATTCTATATACCAACCCTGGATTAGAAGATTACAGAAGGAACACATAATTAGAAATGAGGGAACTAAATATTCTTTACTGTTTTTTTTCTCTCCTTTCCCATTAAATTACTATAGCTTGATGCATTGCCTTTCTCCAAGCCAGAGACCCTTTAATGCCAAGAAACAGATCACATCAGGAGCCATTTCCTCTAGATGCCGCTGCAAACCCAATTACAATTCCTTCTAACAACCTTCTAAGACCCCTCTCCAGGACACTACCCTTCTCTGGGTCACACAGGTGCTTTGGCTGCTGTGTGAAAATAAAATACAGGCGTTTTAGCTACAACCATAGTTCTACAAAATTGTATGCTAAAAATATCAGGGCTTGTGGAAAAAACAGATTTGGGGGCAGATGACTCAAAGCCTATGGAACTTTGAACCAAGCACTAACAAAACCAATAAACATCATAGTAAAGTGGCTAGTACAGTTAACATTCTTCCAGCTTCTGCATCTAGCTACAGTGGTACACTCTTTGCAGCCTAGATCCTGGGGCTTGTGTTTCTCCTTTGAGATATGGGTCTTGGAGGACAGTTGCTTCTAAAATAGAACATTTTGAGCTAAATTGAAAATATGATCTAGGATGCTGCCTTTTTCATCAGTCTGTCATGTTAATATAGGGGAAATATCTTTGTGGTTTCACCATCTGGACTTCCACTTTTGCTAAAGAGCTTAACATGGTAGAAAACCAGCAATTCTTTAAGCCATTGGAACAGCCACTATTTGCACTAAAGGAAAGCATGTTTGTAGATTTTTAGTTTTTATTCCTAAGACCTTCACATTTAGCAAGGCTTTATCTTTGCCTGTAAGAAAACTTACTCCAATTACTTCAAAATATAAATGAGTTTGAAACCAATATGAGTCTCCTGATACTGATCTCTTATTTCTCAACTGCATACAAGGTAACTCACATTAAAAAAAAAAAAAAAACCTAGTTGCAAAAGACTGTAGATAATTTTACCACTTTCTTATGTTATATTACCTTCCTGCAGGTCATTTTAATAAGCTTTTGGTATGCATGAGCCTTGACAGCAGATGGAGATGTCTAAGCCATCCCTTGTATTTTGATACTCACACTGCATCTTTTAATAACAATTTTCGGCCAAGCGTGGTGGCTCACACCTGTAATCCCAGCACTTTGGGAGGCTGAGACGGGTGGATCATGAGGTCAGGAGATTGAGACCATCCTGGCCAACATGGTGAAACCCTGTCTCTACTTAGAAAAAAAAAAATACAAAAATTAGCTGGGCGTGGTGGCACGTGCCTGTAATCCCAGCTACTTGGGAGGCTGAGGCAGGAGAATGGCTTGAACCAGAGTTGGAGGTTGCAGTGGGCTGAGATCATGCCATTGCACTCCAGCCTGGTGACAGAGTGAGACTCTGTCTCAAAACAAATAACAAGAAACAAAAAAAAAATTTTCATCCACTCCAATGTCTGACAGTGACTTTTTACTTAAATTGTTCCTGAATTCAGAGAAATGCTATTGTTTACTGGTTGCACACTAACTTGACTGGGGAAAACTTTGAGTAATAATCTTCTTGCCTTGGCATTTCCCCTGCTCATTGCGTATGTGAGGTATTGACCATACTGGCAATAATAAATAGCTCTGAAGGCTAAGATGGTATGGAGCTGATTCATACATTTTCTCACTTCCTTGCATTTCTCTACTCTGCTGCCATTGTAAACATAAGCCCATGCCATGGTACATAAACAGCAGAAATTGAATATTTGGTTAACTTGTTCTTTTATAGCCCCTATCTATGCAAAGCACAAAGGTAGTTTTTCCCAAAAGGCAATCTGTGGCAAGATGAAAAAAAAGTAAGAATTCTGAGCTTTTTCATGGAGCTAAGTGCATTTTATATATATAATATGTATAAATCTGTTATGAGGTTGTAACTTTATTTTTGGGTTTATTCTTTTGTTTAAATTCTTGTAGCTGTGTTTTTGCCTTTTAAATTTTTAATTGAAGAATTAAAAGATAACAATATTACCTTAGTTCCCAAAACATCTAGAGAGATTTTACTGGTCCATGAAAAAAAAAATGCTTGGAACCACTGCTCTGGGGTAAGGCTTGACACAGCTCAAAGCAGAGTCTCTGTCAGTCTGAAGAATGTTTTCCATGAAAGGGAGAGATGGCGGCTAGGGAGGAGCTAATGTGAGCTTTGAAAACCCATCAGTAATTTCCATTATCACTGGATAACCTGAGTGTGGGTGTGGTGAGTGGATGAGTAATTTCTAAAAATGGAATGAAATCTTGTATAAAACATGTTTCCCAGAAATCTGCACAATCTCTTTTTTATACAAATATTACTCTAGATAAAACTAGAATCTACAGTAACACATGGTTCGTTTGTTCACCCATGGTTAAATATTTAGGTAGTAACCATCTAAGGGTTGGAGGAAAATAGGGATTGGGGGAAAATGACTTAATCAAATGTGGAATAAATTCAAATTACATGTGGCCTAGAGAGTGAATGCGGTTCATATTGATTCTCTGTATATATCTCCCTAATCTTACCATATTCCCAAGGCATTGATTATAGCATTAATCACATGCCTGTTTACACACACAGGGAGAAGTGTCAATAAATGAAGGAGAGACCAGAACTTATTCTGATGTCAATGGAAATGCCTGTTTACCTATTTGCATATAGGAAACTAGTCCAGGCACTCTGAAAAAGATATAACTTCAGTGTTGTGGCTACAGTGGAACAATACTATTAGCCACTGAATAAAGTTCCATAATATAAGAAAGGAAGGGCTGGGACATGAAAGTTGAAAACAGGTTTTTTTTTTAAATTTATACACAAAATATTTTCTATTGGCCAAATTCAAAATGTAATGTTCCTGCTTCTACTAGGGGTGTATTTACCCTTAACGTTCTCCTATTTTTAAAAAATCCTTTTGGGGTTTGACGAAAATCCAACAAAATGTTGCTAATTCCTCTACACACAACTAACCAAAATGCAATTTGGTAAGAGATATTTGATGTTTAAAAGCCTTTTGAGTCCTTAAAGTAGCAAGCTATGGGGGCTGTGTCTTACTCATCTTTGTATTTCTGGTATCTATTACTCCACTGTATATGACTGGCATTGAATAAATATTTGCTCAAAGAATGAATGAACACAAGCCAACAAAAAAGCTAATTCAAAGTCTTGAAATTTTTATATTTTCAGTGTTCAAATGTTCTCTAAGGGTGGTGGAATTTTTTTCTCTATGGAAATAATTTTCTTTAGTTTCTGAGTCTCTAAATTTTGCTTTTCCGCCCCCACCCTCCAAATAACCATGCTATTAACCACCTTCTCTTTTGTCACACTTAACCCCTCACCACTCTATCCCAGTTCCTGAGCAACTGAATTGCCCAGGACAACACCTATTCTGATTTAATTTAAAAAATTCTTTCTTAAAACAGTTGATTCTCCATGCTCAGATTTTTGTAGTGAAGTAGAAATCATATACATATGAAATATATTTGTTATATTATTAAGAAAAGTGAGGATAAAGATTATTTCTTAACCATACACTGAATCTTATTACAGATAACTGATACTCCAAACTGGGATAATAATGATAAATTGGGGTGCTGATTATACCATTTAATCTATTTTTAGGTATCCTTCTTTGATAATTGAATCTCTTTTGGCCACAGATTTTTGAGGCTCTCAGTTCTAATCATCTTATGCTACAGTACCTAATATTCATAAAGAGCTTTATCAACACACGGGTGCTTTCCTGCAGAGATGGTACATTTTTAATTGGTTCTTATGTGTTGTGTTCATCATTTCATCTTTCCTCTGTTCTCATCTCTCCAGTGTTCTATTATATTTAACGGTGATTTCATAAACCCATTTCTTTGTTGTGCTTTAGGGAAAGACTTACTTGTATTGTGGACTCCTGATTACAGAGCTCTGTATCTGGTACTACAGAGAGCTGCTGTGAAATTACTATTGGTTGGAATACCTTAGGTGTGAAGAAAGCAATGTGGTTTGGTCAATTCTCAGTGGAGCTTTTCATTTTATTGGCATTTGTCTATTCTATTTTAATAAACCATTGGGTAGATGCAGGCAGAATGTGCCACAAATCAATTATATGATCCATGTAGCAGCTTTAGTGGGCTCAAACTGCAAAGGACATACTTTGCTGAAATTGTATATTCAATTGCTGAGGTCTACATTGACTCTATTTAGATCTATTCTATCTTTTAAAACCCTGAAAACACTGGAGCAAACTCTTTTGACGAGGACTTGTTCAGAAGAAGCACACAATAAAGAATGAAATACGGTTTTCTCTAGAACTATTGAAGTAATAATGGACAGAACAATAGTCATATTACATTATCCTTTAGAGTTTTTAATTTAATAGAAAATTGTTCTGCCCTTCAGCAAGTTGTAGTATATTCATTCATTAATTCTTCAAATATTTGTTTTGTTCCCAGTAGTTGCTGAGCACTATGAAAAGTGTGAGGGTAAAAAACCAGCTCCTTTCTGTAAACTGATTTAACAGATTTGGAATTATTTTGTTTTCATCTAAATATAAACGTTCTGTCACAATTTCTCAAAGGATCCAATTGCTTGGGAGTCTAGGATGCAAAGGACTGAAAGTGCTTTCCATGGTGAGTCCAGAGATAAGCTGAAAATCACTTTTCCTCCTGAACTGGGCCTCACTACTACCTCTTCCTGCTCTGTAGGTTGACAGCTGGTTAATTTCCTGCAGACTCGATTTTTCTGCATTTCATCTCCCATTCCCTATTTATTCTTCTTGATGACCCAGAAGCATGGCATTGACATTTCTTTCTGGTTCTCATTCATGTTAAATGGACTCAATGACTTTATATCTGGGCCATAGGATTATGGCAAAAAAGAATGCAGGCATTTTGATCTTCAGGTCTAGAAACGAACTTCCTTCTACTTTTAATAGTGTGAAAATTAAATTGAAAGTATTAAAAAATTTAATGTTGTGTTCCTCAGAAAGACAATAATGGAGAATAAAAAACAGGTGGTTTTAAAAGTCAGCTTAATTGAACCTATATACAGTAAAATTTATTTTTTGTGTGTATTGTTCTATATTTTGACAACATATACAGTTGTGTAACAGCCACTAGAAATAACAGAGAACATTTCCACCACCCCCTAAATTTCCCTTATGCCCCACTGCAGTTAATCCCTTCCTCTCAATCACAGCCCCTGCTAACACTAATCTGTTTTTTGTCTCTACAGTTTTACCTTTTCCAGAAAGTCATAAACACAGACTGAGTCTGACTTCTTTCACTGAGATAATGCTTCTGAGATTCATTTACATTATTATAAATATTTCTAGTTTGTTCCTTTTTATTACTGAGTAGTTTTTCATTTATGGATGTGTAATATTTACCCACTTAGCAGGTGATGAATATTTGGGTTATTTCCACTATTCAGCAATTATTAATAAAGCTGCTAATATTATTTGGTTATAGGTTTTTGTGAGGATGCATGTCTTCATTGTTCTTGGGTAAATCTCTAAGAGTGGGGTTGCTGGGTCACGTGGTAAGTGCATGTTTAACTTTGTAAGAAACTGCCAAAGTATTTCTCAAAGTGGCTGTGCCATTTTGCATTCCTACCAGTGATATGTGAGAGTTACAGTTGTTTCACATCCTTGCCAGCATTTGTCATCTTCAGAGTTTCTGATCTGAGCCGTGACTGGTTTCTTTCACATAGCATGTTTTCTTGTAGGCATGTCGTAGTATTTCATCATGGTTGTAATTTGAACTCCCTTAATGACCATTGATGGTCATTGTCTTTCTGTGTGCTCAGTTGCCATTCACATCTCCTCTTTTTTGTGTGTTTGGTGAAATACACATAAAATTTGCAATTAGTGACCGGTAAACACTAATCTGCTTTCTGTCTCTATGGATTTGCCTATACTGCATGTTTCATATGAATGGAATCATTCAAGAGATGTTATCTTTATGACTGGCTTCTTTCATATAACATGTTTTCAAGGTTCATTCATGTTATAGCATGTATCAGTACTTCATCCCTTTTTATGGCTGAATGATATTCCCCTGTATGGATATAATATATATTGTTTATCCATTCATTAGTTGATAGACATTTGGGATGTTTCCACTTGTGGCTAAAGTGTGTTGTTGTGAACATTTGTGTATGCAGTTTTGTTTGAACACATGCTTTCATTTCTTTTGATTATACATCTAGGAGTGGAATTGCTGGGTCATATTGTAATTCTATGCTTAACTTGAGGAACCACCAAGCTGTTTTCCACAGTGGCTGCACCATTTTACATTCCCACTAGCAAAGTACAAGTGTTCCATTTCTTCACATCCTCTCTAACACTTATTATTCTGTATCTTGTAGCCATCCTAATGGTAGTGAAATAGTATCTTATTGTGATTTTGATTTGCATTTCCCAAAGGAATAATGATTTTTACCTTTTCATGTGCTTATTGGCCATTTGTATTTCTTCTTTGGGAAAATGTCTATTCAACTCCTTTGCTCATTTTTTAATTGGGTTGGTTTTTTTATTTTTATTTTTTATTTTTTGCTGTTGTAAGAGTTCTTTATACATTCTAGATAGTAGATTCTTATCAGATATGTGACTCATAAATATTTTCTCCCATCCTTTGGGTTATCTTTTCACTGTTTTGATAATACTTTGATGAACAAAAGTATTGAATTTTGATGCAGTCCAGTCCAAATTATCTTTTCTTTTGTTGGTTATATTTTTGGTGTTGTATCTAAGAAACCATTGCCAAATCCGAGGTTATGAAGATTTACCAGTATGTTTTCTTCTAGAAGTTTTATTATTTTACCTTGCATATTTAGGTTTTTGATCCATTTTGGGTGAATTTTCGTGTGCAGTGTGATGTAAGGGTCCAGCTCACTCTTTTGTATGTGGATATCAAGTTGTTCCTGCACTATATAAGGAAAAGATTATTCTTTCTCCATTGAATGTTCTTAAGAATATTGTCATAAATCAATTGACTATAGGTATAGGTTTATTTCTGAACTTTCAATTACATTCCATTGATCTATGCCTGTCCTTATGTCAGTACCACACTGTCTTGATTACTGTAGTTTTGCAGTAAGATTTGAAAAGAGAACGTGTGAGTCCTCTAACTTTGTTCTTTTTTTCAAGATTGTTTTGGCTATCAGGGGGTCCTTGTGGTTCCGTATAAATTTTGGCTCTTTCATTTCTGCAAAGGCCATTGCAATTTTGATAGAGCCTGAAACGAGTCTGTAGATCACTCTGGTTAATACTGCCATCTTAAAAATATTACCTCTTTCAATATATGATGTGTTTTTATTTATTTAGGTCTTTTTAAATGTCTTTCAGCAATGTTTTGTAGTTTTCAGTGTAGAATTCTTATAACTCCATAGTAAATTCACATCTCTTCTTTAGTGAAGTACTCTTTTAAGTCTTTTGCCCATTTTTTAGATAATTGTGCTGTTTGTTTTTTAAATTATTGATTTGTGAGAGTTCTTTGCATATTCTGAATACTAGCCTTTTACTGATAAATGCTTTTACAGATATGTCCTTTGCAACATTTTCTCCAAGTCTGTGGCTGTCTTTTCATTTTCCTAATAGTGTCTTTCAAAGACACTGTTTTTGATTTTAATTAAGCTCAATTTATCAGTTTCTTTCTGTATGGTTTGCGCTTTTCTGTGTTCTATCTAAGAAATGTTGCCAGGCATGGGTGGTTCACGCCTGTAATCCCAGCACTTTGGGAGGCTGAGACAGGCGGATCACTTGAGGTCAGGAGTTTAAGACCAGCCTGGCCAAGATGGTGAAACCCCATCTCTACTAAAAATACAAAAAAATTAGCCAGGCACCGTGGCGTGCGCCTGTAATCCCAGCTACTCAGGAGCCTGAGGCAGGAGAATTGCTTGACCCCGTGAGGTGGAGGTTGCAGTGAGCCAAGATTGTGCCACTGTACTCCAGCCTGCGCAATAGAGCAAGACTCCATTTCAAAAAAAGAGAAATGTTTACTAAATCCAAGGTCTTAAAGATTTTCTCTTATGTTTTCATCTAGCAGTTTTAGAATTTAAGGTGTTATGTTCAGGTCTATGATCCATTTTTAGTTAATTTTTGTATATTCTGTGAAACATCAACTTTTGAATATAAAGTTGTGTCTTCCAAATTCTATTTTGTTGTTCACTAGTTCTTTAAGAAAAATGTTCAATAGGAACATTGATTTCCTCATTTAAAGTAAAGATAATATTTACTTCCTGATCTGTCAGAACAGTTGTGAGGATCAAATGAAAACAAGTATACAAGTGTTTTCTAAAATCAGAGTATAAATGTTAACTATGATTATTTCTAGCTGACAGCAGCAAAAAAAGAATGATATAAGAAGGTGTCATAATTGGGAGAAAGCCAGAACTCAAAAAATTACTGCAGTGAAGTGAGGTGTTTAAAAGCACTAGCTTTTAAATAGGACTGCATTTGAATGCCAGCTTTGCCACTTCCTAGCAGCTGAAACACACATAAGATATCTGAGCCCTCTAATCCTCAGTTTTCTCATCTATGTGATGAGGAAGGGATACAAACTCCACAAGGTGGTTGGAGTATAAAGTGAGTTAACATAAAGAGCCCAGTGAGCTACAGTGAGTAAGGAATTAATAAGTTGCATTCTTGAAAGAGAGAGAGAAAGAGAGACTGTCTAATAAAATGCTGATGTGAATTATCATGGTATACAAAAGTGCTACAATACACGATGGCAAAGACCAAGTTCAATTTCAGCCAAACTGAGCTACTGGTCATTCCTCAAGTATTCTTTGCCTCTTTTGCTTCTGAAAAAGTACATGTGTTCTTGGAACACTGCTCCAACATCACTAACTTTACCTGTCTCCCTCATTTTGAAGGATTTAGCTCAAGTGACATCTTCTTTTAGGAGCTACTTCTTACCACTTCCTCCCAAAGTCTGCTCTGTGCTCACATAGTATATTGTACATAGTTTTTGTATGGCAAACTGTACTATATCAGGATTATGTGCTTATTGGTTACCCTTGCTGATTGATTATATGGAAAACTCTTTAAAGGAAGGGAGCTGTCTTTGAGTCTTTAGAACCCAGTTCAATGTTTGACACATAGTGGAAGCTCAACAAATATGTGTTTAATGAAAAGATGAGTATATAGTATTAATTTATAATCTGGATATGACTACTAAACTTTTTTTGTTTGTTAGTTTTATAGCATAATACTGATGTTTACTTAAATAGACCAAGTAGATTTACTCTTTATGGGAAAGTGCTGAAATAGGGCCTATTTCTTGCAGAGCATCTATGCCTATGTAATAACATCCACCGTCCAATTTTAAGTATTAATGCTGGGGGCAAGTGAATATATTTAGTATTTGCCCAGTGCCAATGACACAGACTCCTTTTTAAAGTTTTTTATAAAGTATTTGCTGGTCAAAATAATTAGTTATTCTGAATAAGTGTGATACTGACTACATGGCAGAGTAAGTCCCAAGAGTATATGAGAAAAAAATGACTTCATTAAATTCTTATGTGTTAAAACATTTAATAGTTTATGTAATATGGAATTTTGCGAAAAGGGGAAATACCTGCCTATATAAACTTCAATTAAACTGTGAGTGTACATCCTAATTCAATGATCAGAATTTCTCAGGTGATGATCTCACACATATGTACTACCTCATAATAAACTGAAACAAGTGGTTAGTTATGTGCTGATGACAAGGAGGTGGGCAATTACTCAACGCAATGCTTATGATTGACACCTGTTAGGTTTCCTGATGTTGATAAATTGGGTCATACTACAGTCCACCTGTCCCAAAGGGCCCATTTTGGTTATCCGAAGGTCACTATAACTTATGATACATAGGCAAGATACTCTTGTGGCCATAATTTCTTGTTGGGAAATGTTGACTCATGGCCCAACTGTGTTAAATTATCAAACACTGGAAAATGTGCAAGTTAGTTTAGGAATGATTGGTAAGAAGCTGGAAAATCTTTAAGCTTAAAAACCAACAACAACAAACCAACTGGCAAGAGTTCCTTGTGTCCACAGGGATCTATCACTTTCATCGCACCTTGTTCTGATGTTATTCAACAGTCCCTTATGGTAATGACTAAGTGTCATAGTCCCTGGCATTGAATTGGTCCTATCCAGACTATTTACTTATGTAAAACAGAGAGAAGAGAAAAGAGATAAACTTTGAAAAGATAAAAGAGTGAGAAACAAAAGAGAAAAAGTGGGACATGTGGGCATGAAGAGAGGTAATCAAGAAAAGAGAGCAACGAACACAGAGCTAAGCTACCAACAAAGAAATGACCATCAAAGCACTGTCACCTCATCTCCTCCTCCTCTTATTACTACTACTGGTAATATTAATTGATAACTTGCTTTGTACTAATGTCTGTAGTAAATGTTTTCTACTGTGTTCTCTCATTTCACCTTAACCACAAGTCTAAGAGGCATGTTCAGTTGTTACCATTTACAGATGAGGACCTTGAGACATAGAGTTATGGTCCAGCCTGCCCAAAGGTTTGAAATGACTCTGCATTATGCCAAAGTCCAAGATCATAATTATATCACATTATTAAAAATCCAGGAATTATAAAGCACAAATATGGGAGAAAAGTCATAGGAATAGTGACAGAATAACCAAAAGAGCTTGATTTTATTATGGAAAAGAACTACGAAACAAAACACCTAATGTACTCTAACTGATAAACACAATTGATTGTTGTCTTTCAAAGTACTTATCTTAGAAGGCTATGTATTTATATCCATGACGATGAACTGGCCAATGTCTTTGAAGGTTGCCAGATTCAAAATTGCTATTAAAATCAGCTTACTGGCTACATTAAAACAGATAAACAAATATAAGCCAGTTGTATTTCTTTAGTTACCTCTAAATTTTTTTTAATTGTTAAGACTGACCATCCATTTGATTTAAATGAGTTAAGTACAAATGACTGTGGTTTTAAAAACAATAAATTGAACCTCAAGTTTCAAAGACCTGATCCAACTGATGATATGTTGAAGAATATGTGTCAGACTATGAAAGAGATGCCCAATTTTATTGAAATAAGGGTGTAGTTTGTCGAGGTGGCTGACTACTTTGAAGAGGACAACAATCTTTTGGATTTACAAGTTTGGTATATACATGATATCAGCCACTACCTTCCAGTTCCAACTCATCTAAAAGGAGAAAATGAGGGTAATAGAAAAATGCAGGGAGAGGGGGGAGGCAAGATGGCTGACTAGATGCAGCCAGGTGGAATGGCTCCCACTGAGGGACCAAGACAACTGACATGCTCCTAATAGATCTTCAGAAGGAAGGCACCCAAAGTGGACTGAGGGAAGACACAGAAGCTGTACTAAAGAAGGAGAAAGCTGGGAACACTGCATGGGGCTACTGCACACCTGGACTCATTCCTGGCCACAGTGGCTCCAGGGGAATGGGTAAGTTAAACTGGCAAGGAGCAACCTGCTCTCACCATAGGCCTGTGGAACTCTGGCAGGAGAAGATTCCTTAATCACCATGGAAATCAAGTTGGCAGGGAGAGCTGCTTAGAGAAGAGGTAGGGGCAGCAAGCCAGCTGATGTGGAGCCCAGATGGTTTGGTGCAGGAGGATCAGTAGTGAAGTACAGCCAGGGATGGCCATGCCCCTAGGCTTGACTTGCTCCTAGGAGACTTTAGCTCTAGAGGAACTGTTGGACCTGATCTCCGAAAGACAATCTTGCCCATTAGATGGGGCTATGCTGACCTGAGCACCAGCTCAGGCCATGCCTGCTTGCAGGGCAGTCCCAGGTATCCTGCGGCCCTACACTATAGCTTCTGTACTGGTGGACTGTGCCTGACGAGTGCAGAGCTGCAGTAGGGCAGCCTCTACAACCATGCACCAGCCTGCCCACTCCTTCCCTGTACTACAGCTTCCCTCAGGCCCATGGCAACTGTCCACATTGCTTTGCTTTGCTTTGCTTTGCCGGTGCATGTCTGTATGGGGTGGGTTTTGCAGTCCGCCCACCCTCCCCCTACCAATCACCATTGCAGACAGCCTTGATGGGCACAAAACCAGCCAGCCTTACCTCCATCAGTGCCCCACCCTTGTATTAATACTGCACAGAGAACAGCAGATCTTCCCCTTCCCCTTCACTCCCACTTCCAGTGCAAAGAGAAGGCACCCAGACCTGTGCCAGCCAGCACCCTGCCCCCAGGCCAAGACCACTTCCAGTGCGACTGTGTACACAGTCACCAGCTGCATTACCTCCACCAATGTGGTGAACACTCACAGGGAGGCAAGCACCCTGGCATCTGCTAATACTCTGCTGCAGCAGCCATACCTTGGTCCCACCATCACAGTGGGCTGCTAACCTTGAGGAGCCAGAGAACAAAGTTGGGGCCCACTACAAGTCTTGCAGAGTTACAGCATGCAGACCAGGAGTTGGGAGCTAAGTGTTGGCCCCCTACAGTCTTTCAGAAATGAAGCCAGTTGGTTTAATCAACCTTATGCCACAATCAAACTCTCAAGGTCATCAAATAGGATAAAAGGGGCAAAAAATCCAAAGGTCAGCAACCTCAAAGATTGAAGATAGATAAGCTCACAAAGATGAGAAGGAATCAGTGCAAGAACCCTGAAAACTCAAAAAGCCAGAGTGCCTTCTTTCCTCCAAATGACCACATTACCTCTCTAGCAAGAGTTCTGAACTGGCTGAGATGGCCAAAATGACGGAAATAGAATTCAGAATATGGATAGGAATGAAGAACACTGAGCTTCATGTTGAAACCCAATCCAAGGAAGCCAAAAATAATGATAAAACAAGGCAAGAGCTGACAGACAAAATAATTGGTATAGAAAATAACATAACTGACCTGAAAGAGCTGAAAAACACATTACAAGAATTTCATAATGCAATCACTAGTATTAGCAGCAGAATAGACCAAGTGGAGGAAAGAATCTCGGCGCTTAAAGACTGGCTTTCTGAAATAAGATGGTCAGGCAAGAATAGAGAAAAAAGAATGAAAAGGAGTGAACTAAACCTCCAAGAAATATGGGATTATGTAAAGAGACCAAATCTATAAATCATTGGTGTCCCTGAAAGAGATGAAAAGAATAGAACCAACTTGGAAAACATATTTCAGGACATTGTCCATGAGAGCCTCCCCATCCTAGCTAGAGAAACCAACATTCAAAATCAGGAAATACAGAGAACCCTAGTAAGATACTTCACAAGAAGATCATCCCCAAGATACATAATTGTGAGATTCTCCAAGGTCAAAATGAAAAAAATAATGTTAAAGGCAGCAAGAGAGGAAGGTCAGGTCATCTACAAAGGGAAATCTATCAGACTAACAGCGGACCTCTCAGCAGAAACTCTACAAGCCAGAAAAGATTGGTGGCCAGTATTCAATATTCTTAAAGGAAGGAAATTCCAACCCAGAATTTCATATCTGGCAAAACCAAGCTTCATAAGCTTAAAGAAGAAGAAGAAGAAATAAGAATCTTTACAGACAAGCAAATACTGAGGGAACTCGTTACCACCAGACCTGTCTTACAAGAGCTCCTGTAGGAAGCACTAAATATGGAAAGGAAAGACGGTTACCAGCCATTACAAAAACACACTGAAGACCAGTGACACCATAAAGCAACCACATAAACAAGTCTGCAAAATAACAAGCTAACATCATGATAACAGGATCAAGTATACACATATCAGTACAAAACTTGAATATAAATGGGCTAAATATCCCAACTAAAAGACAAAGAGTGGCAAGCTGGATAAAAAACCAAAACCCATTATGCTGTCTTCAAGAGACCCATCTCACATGCAATGATGCATATAGGCTCAAAATAAAGGGATCTACCAAGGAAATGGAAAAGAGAAGAAAGCAGGGGTTGCAATCCTAGTTTCAGACAAAACAGATTTTAAACCAACAAAGATAAAAAAAGAAGGGCATTACATAATGGTAAGGGGTTCAATTCAACAAGAAGATCTAACTATCCTAAATATATATGCACCCAATACAGGAGCACCTAGATGCATAAATCAAGTTCTTAGATACTTTCAAATAGACTTAGACTCTGACACAATAATAGTGGGGATCTTTAACACCCCACTGATAACATTAGGCAGATGATACAGACAGAAAATTAACAAAGATATTCAGAACTTAAACTCAGCACTGGATCAAATGGAGCTGATAGATATCTACAGAACTGTCCACCAAAAACAACAGACTATACATTCTTCTCATTGTCATCTGGCACACATTCTAAAATTGATCACATTATAGGAAGTAAAAAACTCCTCAGCAAATGCAAAAGAACTGAAATCATAACAAACAATCTCTCAGACCACAGCACAATCAAATTAGAAATCAAGACTAAGACATTCACTCAAAACCATATAGTTACATGAAAACTGAATAACCTGCTCCTGAATAACATCTGGGTAAATAATGAAATAAAGACAGAAATCAGGAATTTATTTGAAATTAATGAGAACAACGATACAACATATCCAAATCTCTGGAACACAGCAAAGGCAGTGTTAAGAGGGAAATTTATAGTACTAAATGTCCACCTGAAAAAGTTGGAAAGATCTCAAGCTAACAATTAACACCAAAACTAAAATAATTACAGAACCAAGAGCAAATACATACCAAAGCTAGCAGAGACAAGAAATACCCAAAATCAGTGCTGAACTGAAAGAGATTGAGACACAAAAAAACCATTCAAAATATCGATGAATTCAGGAGCTGTTTTCTGGAAAAAAATTAATAAAATACACAGACTGCTAGCTAGACTAATAAAGAAGAAAAGAGAGAAGATCCAAATAAACACAATACGAAAAAACAAGCAGGATATTACCACTGACCCTACAGAAATACAAACAACCATCAGAGAATATTATGAACACCTCTATGATTATTAACTAGAAAATATACAATAAATGAATATATTCCTGGATACATACACCCTCCCAAGACTAAACCAGGAAGAAACGGATTTCCTGAACAGACCAATAATAAGCTCTGAAGTTGAGTCAGTAACAAGTAGCCTACGAACCAAAAAAATCTCAGGACCAAACAGATTCACCATTGAATTCTATCAGATGTACAAAGAGCTGGTACCATTCCTGCTGAAACTATTCCAAAAATTTGAGGAGAAGGGACCCCTCCCTAACTCATTCTATGAGGTCAACATCATCCTGATACCAAAACGTAGCACAGACATGACAAAAAAAGAAAACTTCAGGCCAATATCCTTGAACATTGATGCAAAAATCTTCAATAAAATACTGGTAAACAAATCCAGCAGCACATCAAAATCTTATCCACCATGATCAAGTAGGCTTTATCCCTGGGATACAAGGTTAGTTCAACATATGCAAATCAATAAATATGATTCATCATGTGAACAGAACTAAATACAAAAACCACATGATTACCTCAATAGATGCAGAAAAGGTTTTTGATAAAATTCAATACCCTTTCATGTGAAAAACTCTCGATAAACTAGGTATTGAAGGAACATACCTCAAAATAATAAGAGCCATCCATGACAATCCACAGCCAACATCATACTGGATGGGCAAAAGCTAGGAGTATTCCCTTTGAAAACCAGCAAAAGACAAGAATGCTCTCTCTCACCACTCCTATTCAACATAATATTGGAAGTCCTGGCCCACCTGGGCAATCAGGCAAGAGAAAGAAATAAGGGACATCCAAATAGGAAGAGGAAGTTGAACTACCCTGTTTGTAGATGGCATGATCCTATATCTAGAAAACCTCACTGTCAGCCCAAATGCTTCTTAAGCTAATAAACAACTTCAGCAAAGTCTCAGGATACAAAATCAACGTGCAAAAATCACTAAATCACTAACATTCCTATGTACCAACAATAGTCAAGCCAAGGGCCAAATCAGGAATGCAATCCCATTCACAATTGCCACAAAAAGAATGAAACACCTAGGAACACAGCTAACCAGGGAGGTGGAAGATCTCTTCAAGGAGAACTACAAAACACTGCTCCAAGAAGACAGAGATGACACAAACAAATGGAAAAGCATTTCATGCTCATGGATAGGAAGAATCAATATTGTTAAAATGGCGATGCTGCCCACAGCAATTTATAGATTCAATGCTATTGCTATTAAACCACCATTAACATTCTTCAAAAAACTAGAAAAAACTATTTTAAAATTTATATGGAACCAAAAAAGAGCCTGAATAGCCACGGCAATCCTAAGCAAAAGGAACAAAGCTGGAGGCACTGAAACAGCATGATATTGGTACAAAAACAGACACATAGCCCAATGGAACAGAATAGAGAACTCAGAAATAAGGCCACACACCTACAACTATCTGATCTTTGACAAAAACAAGCAATGGGGAAAGGATTCCCTATTCAATAAATGATGCTGGGATAACTGGCTAGCCATATGCAGAAGATTGAAACTGGACCCCTTCCTTACACCATATGCAAAAATTAACTCAAAATGAATTAAGGACTTAAGTGAAAAACCCAACGCTATAAACACCCTGGAAGACAACCTAGGCAATCCATTCTGGACATAGGAAGAGGCAAAGATTTCATGGCAAAGATGCCAAAAGCAATTGCGCCAAAAGCAATTGCAACAAAAGCAAAAATTGACAAATGAGATCTATTTGAAGAGCTGTGTAGCAAAGGAAACTAACAACAGAGTGAACAGACAGCCTATAGAATAAGAGAAAATTTTTGCAAACTATGCATCTGACAAAGGTCTAATATCCAGCAACTATAAGGAACTTAACAAATTTACAAAAAATAAAAAAAAAACCCCATTAACAAGTGGGCAAAGGACAAGCACAGACACTTCAAAAGCAGACATACATATGGCCAAAATTCAGATGAAAAAAAAGCTGAACATCGCTGATCATTAGAGAAATGCAAATCAAAACCACAGTGAAATCTCACACCAGTCAGAATGGCTACTATTAAAAAATAACAGATGCTGGTGAGGTTGAGGAGAAAAAGGAGTGCTTACACATTGTTGGTGGGATTGTAAATTAGTTCAACCATTGTGGAAGACAGTGTGGCGATTCCTTAAAGACCTAAAATCACAAATGTCATTCAACCCAGTAATCTTATTACTAGATGCATACCCAAAGGAATATAAGTTGTTCTATTATAAGATACATGTACACATATGTTCATTGCAGTGCTATTCACAATAGCAAATACATAGAATGAACCTAAATTCCCATCAATGATAGACTGGATAAAGAAAATGTGATACATCTACACCATGGAACACTATGCAGTTATAAAAAAGAATGGGATCATGTCCTTTGCAGGAAAACATGGACGAAGCTGGGGGCCATTCTCCTTAGCAAACTAATGCGGGAACAGAAAACCACATATCACATGTTCTCACTTAAAAGTGGGAGCTAAATGATGAGAACACATGGACACATAGAGGGGAACAATACACCCAAGGGCCTATCAGAGGGTGGAGGGTATAGGGTGGGAGAAGGGAGAGGATCAGGAGAAATAATGGGTACTAGGCTTAATACCCGGGTGATAAAATAATCTGTACAACAAACCCCTATGATACAAATTTACCCATACAACAAACCTGCACGCGTACCCCTGAACTTAAAAGTTAAAAAATAAGGAAAAGAAAAAGAAAATGCATGGGAAAAAGCAAGAAAAAATTAAAATATCAATCACCACCTGACTTTTCAATGCTGAAATTAGACACTATTACTCACCAGAAATTAATCTCATGAGGGGATAATGTAAACGTACGGGTGGTCTCAAGCTCTTCTGTGTGCACATCCACTTCCCCCACCAAACAAAATCTGTAAGAAAAATTCTGCCCTTCAGCCATTGCACATTTCCCCTTTTCTCTCTTACTCCTTTTAACTCCTAGCAGTACTATGGGTAACTGAGGTAATCAGCTGGAAAAGGCCTGAAGGAGCCAAATGGAAACTTTGTATTGAAAAGGGCAAAGACTTCCTTGTTTAAGAGGTGGGAGGGGAATAAAAGGATAGAGTCAAAAGTAAAGAATGTGAATGGAAGGTTGAAGAAAGGAAAGAAAAAATGACAAGCCGACATGGCTAATTGTCAGAGAAAGTTTCTGTGGGTTATTAAGAGAGCAAAGAGAGGATTCGAGGGAGTTTTCGTTAAGAGGGCCATGCAAGGAATGAGAAGAGAGCTTTCCAAAAGAGTTGTTGTGAATGATACATTTTGGAAATTCTTTAAAGTTCTATAAGAGATACCAGTAAAGATTGGAGTTATTTTAAATACTGTTTGCGGCCAGGTGTGGTGCTCATACTTATAATCCTAGCATTTTGGGAGGCCAAGGCAGGCAGATCGCTTGAGTCCTGGAGTTCAAGACCAGCCTCAGCAACATGATGAAACCTCACCTCTACAAAAAAATACAAAAAATTAGCCGCAGATGGGGTGGAGTGTGCCTGTAGCCCCAGCTACTTGGGGGCTGAGGAGGATTGCTTGAGCCGGGGAAGTCGAGGCTGCAGTGAACTGAGGTCATAACCACTGCACTCCAGCCTGGGTGATAAAGCGAGACCCTGTCTCAAAAAATGTATGCGTAAATAAATACTTTTTGATTGCTGGATTATATCTTTTTGACTGCAACAATATGCCAAGACTGGGCCACGAGAGACTCTTGATTTATTCAGGTAATAGCGGTATAACATTTACAGCAGGTGTTCCTAACACTGGATTCATGGAAGGAATTTAGGTTGCCAATAAATCCTGATAATTGTGTGTACTTTTTGTGTTTATGTGTACATGTATTTTTTTTAATAAAGAGAATGTTTATGTTTATAGCTTTCATTAGATCCTTTAAAAATTCATGATCCTTCTCTTTAAACAACTGAAAGAGGCTTATGACTGTAATCCTAGCATTTTGGGAGGCCAAAGCAGGAGGATCACTTCAGGCCAGGAGTTTGAGACCAGCCTGGGCAACATAGCAAGACCCCGTGACTACAAACATTTTAAAAAATTAACCGGGAACAGTAGTGTGCACCTGTAATCCCAGCTACTCAGGAGGCTGAGGTGAGAGGATCACTTGAGCTCAGAAGTTTGAGGCAGGCTGCTGTAGTCAGCTCTGATCATGCACTGCACTCCAGCCTGGGTGACAGATTTAGAGCCTACCTCTGCCAAAAAAAAAAAAAAAAAAAAAAAAAAGAAAGAAAAGGAAGAGAAAAGGTACAAGCTCAGGGCAAAATATTGAGTTATTAAGTGAAGATATATAACTACAGAAGATAACTGATTTCTAATTGTACTGTACAAGCTTACTATGCTAGTCCACATCCATTTATTTTTCCAAAGATATTGAATATCAATGTATTCATTCATTTCCTGCCCCTAAGTTCCTCTCCTGATTTCCTTGGTATCTGAATGTACATTTGGAGATTAAAAAATAAAGTAATCATGAGAGTGCTACATAAGGTAAGGAAAAGGGCCACTCACATTTTCTGGAATTGAAGAAAGAGGGGGAAAATTAGAGCTAAACCTGAATGCAAATCAGAAATTTACTATAGTTTGAGAAGGGCATCATGATAGACACTGAAACAAAGGAAAGCACAGCATAAAATAATGGTCAGAGTATTACGGTTATCAAACTGATTAAATGTCCCCTGTCAAGGTACATGGAAAGACATTTTCAGTAATTCTGCTTCTAGTGAAAGAAAGAGTTAATATATCATACTTGTTACAGAAACCTTAATTCAATGCATAACAGACTAAGCATCAAGTTATATTAACTGGCTAAACATTTAAATTATGGAAGGCAAATAGCTGCAAAAGGGAGGAACTGAGAACCACAAAAAGTCTGCCATTGCTTTTCTGTTTGTTTGAACCACCTACTCAAGTGCTTTATTCAAATTAAAAATGGGATGCACAGAAACAGCTCCCAAGTCTTTCAAAAAACGCCTTCTTTCTTCACCTGCCTCTTTCCTCATTTAAGAGTAGCACCCACAAGAATGCACCATTAGCTTGCCCTAGACAAACTTCAATTTAGAGTCTTAGGAGAAGGCCGTCAGCAAATATTAGTCTCTAGGGTTTCCTGAGCAGAGTACTAGCCATATTGTAGGCATTCATTAAACGCTTATTGAATAAATGAGTTACCAAATGAAAAAATGAAAAAACATTTTTTACCCCACTGTTGCAATTGTGGATATGGATATGCGACATTAGGAACAGCACTAGGCTTGGGAGAGCAACACCAGGGAAATCAGAAACTGTCCCCACACAAAATACTCCTCTTATCTCTTGCAGATAGCAGGTGTTCCCTTAGGGAGGCTTGAGCCTTACATGGCTGATGCTCTCTCCAGAGGTTTTATGAGGAAGAAGGAAACAATGCCTCATCAAGGGGATCCATCAAGGGATTTGGGAGAAAGGAGGGTGTGGCAGGCAGAAGTAATGCCCCTACCACAGACATCCATGTCTTAATCCCTGGAACCTACAAATATGTTACGTCAATGGAAAGGAAGATTTTAGGTTGCAGATGGATTAAAATTATGAGTGAGCTGAAGCTGAGATGGGATAAGTATCTTGGACCACACAGGTGGGCCCAATGTCATCACAAGGGTGAGGCAGAAGAAAAGGTCAGAGTGGAAGAAGGATTTGACCTGCTGTTGCTGGCTTTGAAGATGGGAGGGGTCTCAAGCTGAGGAATGTGGGCAGCTTCTAGAAGATGACAAAGGCAAGAAAATGGATTCTCTCCTAGGGCCTCTAGAAAGAAATGCAGCCTGACCACACCTGGATTTTATTCCAGTGAGACCCATTTTCGACTCTGACCTCCAGGACTGTAAGATAATAAATTTGTGTTGTTTCCCACTACCAAGTTTTTGAGAATTTGTTACAACAACAATAGGAAATATAAGGTGGGTGAAGAGGATGGAAGGACTTGAGAGGCAGGTAGACTGGTTTTGTCATTATTAGCTGTGGGGATTGAAGGAAGTTATTTCATCTCTGTGAGGCTTCGTGTGCTCATCACTATAGAGAGTTAAAACTAACAAACTCATAAGACTGCTTTTAAAACATATATATTTAAAATAATCTATTTAGGGCTTATCTTTACCACTAGATACATTTTTAATTTGAATTTTTTCTATTTTTAAATTGACTTCACTTTTTTTTTTCAGAACAGTTTTAGGTTCATAGCAAAACTGAGAGGAAGTTATAGAGATTTCCAATATGCCCCCTACCCTCCCACATTTCTACCATAAATGACAATGTTATGTTCTGTAAAATGGTCCTCAAGTTACTGTGAGAAGTATATGAATAGTGGAATATGCAAACTTCTAAGTCTGGATGATAACTTACTCCCTTTCAGGTTTTGCAGCCAATGTAGACTTCATGACTTCAGAGTCGTAAATATAGTGAGATAATTTCAACATCCAAATTGTAACAAAATCATTGCTAGGGTTTGGAGGTACATTGTGTTCAAAGATTTTTATTAAATTTTGTGATATTGCACAACTTTGATTAGACCATTTTGTGGTTAGGACAAATCTATTTTTATTAACACATCAAATTTTAAGAAATAAGTAGATTTTAAATCCACTTTTTCAGTTTATTAATAAATTACGAGAAAGGCACAAGAGGAAACCTCATAAACGAATGTTTCTTTTAAAGAAGTATTTATAAATCACAAAGTGACTTGATGTGTAATATATCTAGCTTCAAAGTATATCAACAAGATTATTTCCCTGTTTTCTTTTTCAAGCCAACTTAAAATTGAGTTCAATATCACTTAAAGATAATAGCTATTTAGATTTTTCAATGCTTTTAAAAGGAAAAAGTAAAGTCTTCTAAAGTGACCATGACATGCTTAAGTAAATATTTTTCCCCAAAGATTCACTGTGTAATTTGACTTGAGAAGATATGAGTAAAACATAGACCTGCTACAATATTTTAGGAAATAATTTACTATTTCCTCTGATTTTGGAAAGCCCTTTAAAATATACAAAATCAACTGCAATTTCCCACAACACCACTTTTTCTACAGGCTTCACAGCTTGGATAACCAATAGGGCTGATAAATCAGTTCGTCAACAAGCTCAGAAATCCCAGGAAAAAAATGGACAACTCACTGCTTTTTCTCCTGTATCTGCCCTTTGCTTCGTTGTCCCCTAAATGACTTCACTACTGAGTTTACGGATCAAAAGACTTTTTCTATGAATACTCACTTCCATTGAAATATGCAGAAATTTTCAGAAAAAGTCAACATTTACTTAGTATAAGGAGCTTTAAGTTTGAACTAGTAGAGTGATCAGCAGGTTTAATTTAACCCTGAAAAACAGCTCAACTAGCTGTCCTATGCAGGTACTTATCTCTCTCCCCCAGAGAGCTCAGCTGGCAGCAGTCAAAACCAAAGTGGAAACTTAATAAAAATGAAAATTGTGGTAGCAAAATACACTTACAAGGTTAATTTGACATATTGCAAAATCTTGGGAAGTTATAGTGGTTTCTAAATATCCACAGTACTGATCTAGAAAAACCCCAAAGAAACAGCTGCATTTGGAGATATAACCTGCCTTATCTGAAGAGAAGACCTCGGAATATCAAGGTTTGTAAGTCTTGAGATGCTTGAATTTGAAGACAACATTGGTGGAAATTCTATGCACTTCTTGTTGAGAAACAGCAGGACCATAAAACCCATAGAAGTTATATTTATGTGTTGGGCAAACACATATTTGCTCCAAGGATCACATAGTTAATTTATTTCACTAGAGAGTGCAAAGGATAAAGAAGTAACATCAGTTCTGTGAGCCTGTTAAGAAAATTGTTGTGCTTAGACCACTGGATTCTTTGATTACCTGTGAATGTCTCCATTTTTGGCATTTGGTAGCAATTGGCTGAGGCAAACCCGGCAAAATGTTTTCCAGCTGCTGGAAGACTAACTCTTGCACATCCTCAATGCTGTGTTCCAAGTATGTAACTCCAAATGGGACAGTGGTGTGAATCACGAGGGAAGGCCCAATTTCTGATGACTCTGTGGCATAAGAGGATCATAAAGATGCATCTTAAAGTGGGTAGCAGGCAAGCATCTCTCAGGATTTCAATTCAGACTTAAGAACTGATCACAATAATCAAGCAATAAATGGAGGAAAAACTTATTCTAATCTCTAAAGCATAAATTAGGCATTTCTGAAATTCAAAATCAAACTTCTCTGAAGAGGAAGACAGATTAAAGAGAAGTTTTAGTGAAAAATTGTCAGATATTGCTAAAGAACTGGAAGAAAGGGTAGAAGTGCATTTAATATGAACTGCCTTGGATATAATTATATTTAGGTTTGTCTTCTCTCATTCACAAAATTGCTAGCTCTTCAGGGCAGGGTCCATTTTTTTTATACAGAGTCTATATTCTTCATAAATTCTGAGAACAAAGTATATATTCAATAAATACCTGTCTCATTCAATTAATGCTTAATGGGTTGAAATATATTTTGTTGAAATTACACAAATGTCAGAACAAAAAGAAACCAAGCTCCTCTCTGAAAACAGGCTTGTCCTCATAATATTCTTCTCTATGTTTTAATTACCATTTCTTTATGTTTTAATCAGCATTAAAAATAAAAGTCTGTCTCATTCAAAACATGAAACAACTTTCCATTTTTGTTTGCCATTGATTTTTTTGCTGTCTGTTCGTAATCACAAATAATGAATATCTGCTTTGTATCATTCACTCCTTAGTAGAATAAAGAGCAATCAAAGTCTGAGTTGAAAGAAACCTAAGTAACTGACTCTTTAGAAAGCACCATCTTGGAAGAATGTTAACAAGAATTTGTCTGCTATTATTTGTTTGAATCATGCAGAAGAGAAAGCTGAGGGGAAAACAATGATAGATGTGAAACATATGAATATAATATGAAAATTGGAACCTCCCCCTCCTGAGAGAAGAGAATATTAAAGTGTATAAGGCACTGATAGGAGATGTCAAACCTGATTCTGGAAATTCTTTAACTTGGGATTGTAAATGGTAATACAATGATCTATTTGAGTTACAGCAGTACAACTGACACAGGAAAGAAAGAGTTGACATAAGCCACTTACTCACTATGTGCCCGCTTAACCTCTTTACATTTCAGGTTTTTTTTTTTTTTTAATGAGAATAAGTTAGTAGCCACCACTTTTTTTTTTTAATGAGAATAAGTTAGTAGCCACCACATAGGTCTATGATGTGCATTAAATAACATAGTACACATGAAATACTCAGCACAGTTTCTGACACAGAATAGGTGCTTAATAAATCTAAGCTATGGGAATGGAAGCAATAAGCCAGAGACACGCGTAAAGCTTCCTCAGTGTTGCCTAAATTATAGGTGTGAGTCATGTTTTGTGAAAGTACTTCATTTTTCCTTTGCACTCAGCACAAGGAACCCTGGTTTATGAATTTTATGGCAAAACACAAGAGAAGAGAGTCCCAACATGCTGCAAACTTTTTAAAGTGAAGTGAATGCTTCCAAGGAGTTTCACATATACGAGGTGAGGGACCTGAATTCAGAATTTGTGCAGTAAATGCAATGGTAAGCTGGGCTGTACAGTATTTTCACCTCACAGTAGCTGGAACAACTTGAAAGAGGAAATAGAGGGGCCATCTCTTTGAATGTTCAATGTGTAACCTGTCAGTGAAGACTTTACAGGTTCTGTACAGAGGGAAGGACTCAGGAGTGGAAAATCTCAATTTCTTTCACAGAATACCACCACAGTGAGAAATCTATTGCATATTGCCTTAGGAAGTTTTATTTATGTTATCAGTTAATAAACTCAGGGAGGCTTGTTCACAGTGACGGGGTATCAATGCCACCCCTCTTCCATACAGTACCACATCTTCCCAGCAACAGAGAAAACTACTAGGTCAGCATTCTGAAGCAGGGAAGTTGGGGCTCTGAGTTGACTTATCTATGTCAGGCTTCAAAGGAAAATGAATGCTAGCTGCATGCTGAGAATTGGGAGGTTGCACTGACCCAGCTATTTGTTCCAGGGGAAACTCGTAAAGTCACTAAGACCAGTGATGGTGTGATGCCAGGTTTCTCCCATTTACATTAACCATCCACTCCACGGAGAGCAATAAAACATGAAATTTAAGACCTAAAGTGAAATAGTTCTCGCATAACAATGAGAGAACAACCTGCCTACTTATTTTTATTTGAATTGTACATTTATTTTGAAAATTTAGATGAAAATTTGAATAGCTATGACTGAAAACAGTAAGTTTTGGGGAAAAGCTCCCCCAACCCTAAATCAGAGTGTGTTTTCAGAAGCTAAAGTCTAAAAATACAAAGAGTCAAGCAGAATTTAAACGTGATCAAAGTTTGAAAATAGAGCAGTATAAAAAGCCACAAATATGTTAATAGGATCTAGAGCATAAATTCAGCATAATCATTATTCCTTGGTCACGGGGAAGTTAATGATGCTATTTTTCTTTTTCTTTTCTTTATTCAGTTTAACAAGAATATCACCTAGCTTTTGGCATTTTAAATGTAAAGCTCACAGTAAGTTGACAATTATTTCTCTACTTTGGGAAATCAATGGCTATAGAGTCAGAAGATAAGTATTTGAACCTCTGCATCCTTTAATAGCCCTGTAATCTTGGACAACTTAATCTCTCAGGCTTCACTTTTTTCCATCAATTAAAAGGGAGCAACACTACTGACCTTACAAGGCTGCCATGAGGATTAAATGAATTACTCACATAAAAGCCTTCCTTCAAACATAAAGTGCTACACAAACAGAAGGCATTCCTAGGTAATATTCTTGTTTCCACCTCTCCACTGTTGAAAGAGCAGCTTTAGAAAGGGATAACAGAATTGACTTCTCTCAAAGCATTAAGACTGATCATTACATCAACACCCCAGCGACAATGGAAGACTATTCCTGGGTATAGGCAGAGCAGGATTTGATTTTTTTGTGTGTGTTTCGTAAAATATACATAAAATTTACTGTTTTAACCTATTTTACATATACAGTTCAGTAGCATTGAGTATGTTCACTTTGTTCTATAACAGTCACCATCAAGCTGCTGGTTTTCAAGATGCCTGTCTAGTGACATCAGATGCCAGCTCTTTTCAGAAAGATCAAAGTTATCTGTGAATGGACAAGTTCCAAATGCAAAACTTACAGAAGAGATCCAGGACCTGACAGAGTGCCCAGGGGAAAAAGCTGAGATGCAGAAAAAAAAAGCAGCAAGGGTCTGGCAGAGATTGACCCCTGAGGAACTCAGAACCCTGTGCTAAGGGGTAGTGGGTGTGCTTCTCTGCTCCCTTCACCCCTGCAACAATTCACTGACTGTCAAACTGTTGGGGAGCCCCTCTGCCCTCTGGATCACGGGCAATGCTGTCAGTGGTGACTTGGGGGAATTTTCCAGGGGCAAAGAACCAGGTGGCCAGCTCATGTTAAGCATGCCTACACTCCCCTCAGACCTGAACTGACATGGCTGAACTGAGCCATGCTGGTTGTGCACCTGTGGTGGGACACTGCCCTGCCCAGGGAATCTCTGCCCTTGAGTCACCACACCACGAGATTCCCCACAAACATACCCCACAACCCATTCTGTCTCTGGCAAACATGGGGCTGTTGGGTCCCTGTGGAGCTGTGGGAGCCCTGGAGATCTCACCCTTGGTGGGCTGCCCTGAAGGCAATGGGGAGCACAGCCCACTAAAGTCTCCCTTGGGACAAAGGAAATGAAGGAAGTGGCACCAATCGGTGAAGGGGGTAGCACTGATGGCTAGGAAGGGTTGTGGAGAGGGAGTCATCCACCCCTTGCCACCTTTAGCCACTGTTGAGGATGCAGTAGTGGTTCTTCTGGCTGGGGGCTGGTATATGTGCACCTGGAGAAAGCACTTATCACACTTTTTGTAGTGAATCCACACTCGCTGAAAGTGAGCCCATGCTGCTTGGGCTTGCACAAAGGGCAGGGCCCAACTCCCTGACCCTACACAAAACAGCAGCATCCTGGCAATGGAGGACACAGACAAGCCACAGAGTTGTCTGCTCTGGACTGGGGGAAGGGGCTCTGCCCCAAGACCATCTTGGTGGTAGCTGCCAAAATGGTATATCAGTAGCCCATAGCCACATTGCAGCTGGGAACCAAAGGAAAAAGTCTTTATGAACTGAAGGCTGGGAGCCCTGTGACATGGTGTGATAGGGGAAGCAGCTGGCATTCCTGCCTGGTCAGGATGAGGAGCTGGTGCACTTCCCCAACTGCTCCTTCCCCAAAGACCTCAGCATGCTCCAACAAAATCTCCTCCCCTCTATATCAGGGCAGGTGCTTCCGCTCATCATCAATCTACCTGTGGGTGGGCCAGCTCTTACTCTTAAGTGCCACCTACTGGACTAGAGCTTGAACTCCACCACCAAATAAAACACCTGCTGCCAGAAGGGCTGAGTGCTAGTGTATGTGATGAGACTTCCATACCCTCAGCCAAGCAGTAGATAGAGTGTTAGCTCATATGTCAAATATATTGCTACAACAAGCAGCATCCGAGAAAGCCACCACACAAAAGCTACCCACAATGAAGGACCCATACAGCACCTTGGTCCTCTGAAAGCACCTGGAAAGGAGGCCAAATGATCATACACAACATACAACATACCCTCAAGATAAAAAAGAATTACAAAATGTAAAAGTCCTATCAAAAGGACAGAAAATTAAAAAATAAACGTGACAGATCCCTCATATGAGAAGGAATCAGTGCAAGAACTCTAGTAGCAAAAAAAAACCTAGAGTGGATTGACACCTCCAAAGTATTTCATTTGCTCTGTAGCAATAGGTCCTAACAAAAATGAAAAGTCTGAAATGGCAGACAAATAATTCAAAATATGGATTTTAAGGAAACTCAATGAGATCCAAGAGAAAGTTGAAATCCAATACAAAGAAACCAGAAAAACAATTCAGGCTATAAAAGATGAGACAGCTATGTCAAAAAAAGAAAAAAAACCCAAACAATTAGAACTTCTGGAATGAAAAAATTCATGGAAAGAATTTCAAAATACAGTTGGAAGCTTTAACAATAACCTAGACAAGCAGAAGAAAGAATTTCAGAGCTTGAAATGTGGTCTTTCAAATTAATCCAGTCAGACAAAAATAAAAAAGAATTTAGAAAAATGAAGAAAGCCTTTGAAAAATATGGGATTATGTAAAGTGAACAAACATACAACTGGTTGGTATTCCTGAGAGAGAAGAAGAAAAAGAAAGCAACCTGGAAAACATATTGGAGACAGTAATTCAGGAAAATCTTACTAACCTTGCTAGAATCATCAACATCCAGATATAAGAAATTTAGAAAACTCTCGCAAGATACTACAGAAGATGATAGTCACCAAGGCCTATAATTATCAGACTATCCAAGGTCAACATGAAAAAAAAATTCTCAAAGGGAGGCACCTGAAAAAAAGGGATAAATTACCCATAAAGGAAATACCATTAGACTAACAGTGGACTTCTCTGTAGAAGCCTTACAAGCAAGAAGAGATTGGGGGTATATTTTTAACTCTCTAAAGGAAAAAAAAAAAAAGTCAGCCAAGAATTTTATACCCTGCCAAACTACACCTCATAAATGAAGGACAAATAAAGTTTTCCCAGATGAGCAAATGCTAAGGGAACTCTTCTTTACCAGACCAGTCCTACAAGAAAAGCTCAAAGAAGTTCTAAACATGAAAACAAAAGAACAATGCTTGCTACCATAAAAGTACACATAAGGCCAAAGTACACGGATCCTATAAAGCAATTACACAATTGAGAATACAAAGTAACTAGCTAACAACACTATGGCAGGAACAAAACCTCACATATCAATATTAACCTTGAACATAACAGCATAAAAGCCCCACCTGAGAAACACAGATTGGCAAACTAGATTAAAAAAAACAAGACCCAACCATCTACTGTTTTCAAGAGACCAATGTCACACATTATGACAGCCACAGTCTCAAAACAACAGAATGGAGAAAGATCTATCACACAAATGGAAAACAAAAAAGAGTAAGGGTTGCTATTCCTGTGTGAGATAGAAGAGACTTTAAAACAAACACATTAAAAAAAAAAGACAAAGAAGGGTATTATATAATGATAAAGGGTTCAATTCAATCAGAAAATTCTACTATTTTAAATGTATGTTTACTCAACATCGGAGCACCAAGATTTAGAAAACAAATACTACTAGACCTAAAGAGAAGAGATAGACAGCCTTACAATAATAGTAGGGGGTTTCAACACCATGCTGACGGCACTAGATAGAACACTGAGGCAGAAAACAACAAAGAAAATCTGGACTTAAATTGGACTCTTGACCAAATGGACCCAGTAAACACCACAGAACACTGCATCCAACAACCACAGAATGTATGTTTTTCTCATCTGTGCACAGAACAGTCTCTAAAATTGACTATATGATTGGCCATATAGCAAATCTTAATACATTTAAAAACATCAAAATCATATCAAGCATCTTCTCAGACCACAGTGGAATAAAATCAGGAATCATACCAAGAGGAACTATCAAAAACCACATAAGAACATGGAAACCAAACAAACAACTTGCTGCTGAATGACTTTTGGGTAAACAAAAGAATTAAAGCACAAATCAAAATATGTTTTGAAACAAGTGAAAATAGAAACAAAATATCCAAATCCCTGGGATACAGCAAAAGCAGGGCTAAGAGGAAAGTTTATTCTGCTAAATGTTTACATCAAAAAGATAGAAAGATCTCAGATTAACAACCCAATGTCACATCTAAAAGAACTAGAAAAATGAGAACAAACCAAACCCAAAGATAGAAGAACAAAAGAATTAACAAAGATCAGAGCAGAATGACATAAAATTGTGACCAACAAAATATACTAAAGATCAACGAAATGAAAAGTTGGTTCTCTGAAAGGATGAACAACATTGATAGACCAGTAGCTACATTAACCAAGAAAAAGAATATTCAAATAAGCATAATCAAAAAATGACAAGGGTGACATTACAACTGATACTGCATAAATACAAAAGATTCTCAGAAGCTATTATGAATATCTCTATGCACACCACCTAGAAAACCTAGAGGAGATGGATAAATTCCTGGAAACACACAACTTCACAAGATTGAATCAAGATGAAATTAAAATGCTGAACAGACCAATAATGAGCTAGAAAATTGAATTAGTAACAAAAAATCTACAAACCAAAAAAGAAAAACAAAAATTCAGGACTAGACAGACTCATGGCCAAATTCTACCAGACTTACAAAGAAGCTGGTACCAATCTCAATGAAACGATTCCAAAACACTGAGGCGGAGGCATTCTTCCCCAACTCATTCTATGAAACCAGTATCATCCAAAATCTGGCAAGGACACAATCAAGGAAGAAAACTATAGGCCAATATCCCTGATGTACACAGACACAAACATTCTTAATGAAATGCTAGCAAATTGAATCTAGCTGCACATCAAAAAGATATTTCATCGTGATCAAGTGGGTTTTATTTCTGGTATGCCAGGATGGTTCAGCATACACAAATCAAGGTGATTCACCACATAAACAAAAACCATATTATTATCTCAATAAATGCAAAAAATGCATTCAATAAAATCCAACATCCTTTCACAATAAAAACCCTCCAACGAACTAGGCATCAAAGGAACTTAACTAAAAATAATAAGAGCCATACATGGCAAACCCACAGCCAACATCATACTGAATGGTGAAAAATTGAAAGCATTTCCCCGATATGGTTTGGGCTCTGTGTCCCCAACCAAATCTAATCTCAAATTGTAATCCCCATGTGTCGGGGGTTGGGGGTGATTAGGTCATGGGGGCAGTTTTCCCCATGCTGTTCTCATGACAGTGAGTTCTCACAAGATCTGATGGTATTTAAAGTGTTTGACGGTTCCTCCTTCACAGGTGCTCTCTCATGTGCTGCCATGTAAGAAGTGCCTGCTTCCCCTTCTGCCATGATTATAAGTTTCCTGGGGCCTTCCCAGCCATGCAGAACTGTTAGTCAATTAAACTTCTTTACTTTATAAATTATCTCTGGCAGTTCTTTATAGCAGTGTAAAAATGGACTAATACACTCCCTAGGAATGGGAGCAAGACAAGGATGTCTACTCTCATTTCTCCTATTCAACATATTACTGGAAGTCCTAGTCAGAGCAATTAGGTGTGAAGAAGATATAAAAGTAATACAAATAGGAAAAGAAGAAGTAGAATTATCTCTGCTAGCTGATGACATGATCCTATACCTAGAAAGCCTAATGACTGCTCCAAAGGACTCCTAGACCTGATAAATGACTTCAGTACAGTTTCAGGATACAAAAATAATGCACAAAAAAATCAGTTGCATTCCTATACACCAGCAACACTCAAGCTGAGAACCAAATCAAACACTCAATCCCACTTACATTTGCCACAAAAAATACTATATCTAAAAATGCATTTAACTAATAAGGTAAAAGATCTATACAAGGAGAACAACAGAATACTGATGAAAGAACACATAGATGACACAAACAAATTGGAAAACATCCCATGCTCATACAGAGGAAGAATCAAGATTGTTAAAATGATTATACTGCCCAAAGCAATCTACAGATTCAGTGAAGTTCCTACCAAATTACCTACATCATTTTTCACAGAATTAGAAAAAAACAATTCTAATTAGCCAAAGCAATCCTAAGCAAAGAGAACAAGGCTGGAGGCATCACATTACCCAAACTCAAAGTATACTACAAGGCTACAGTATCCAAAACAGCATGGTATTGGTACAAAAACAGACAAAGATCAATGGAACAGAATACGGAACACAGAAATAAATCCATATACCTACAACTAACTGATATTGACAAAGTCAATAAAAACAAACAATGAAGAAAGTACACCCTATTCAGTAAATTATGTGGGGGAAAACTGGCTAGGGATACGCAGTAGAATGAAACTGGAACACCACCTTTCACCACAGACAAAAATTAAGTCAAGATAGATTAAATACTTAAATGTAAGACCTGCAACTATAAAAATACTAGAAGAAAACCTAGGAAAAACTACTTTGGACGTTGGCATATTCAAAGAATATATGACTAAGACCTCAAGAGCAAATGTAACAAAAACAAAAACAGACAAATGGGATTTAATTAAACTAATTAACAGAGTAAATAGACAATTTACAGAATGGGAGACAATATCCACAAACTGTGCATCTGACAAAGGTCTAATATCCAGAATCTATAAGGAGCTTATACAAATCAACAAGAAAAACAAAACAAAACAACCCCATTAAAAAGTGGGGCAAGGTCATGAACAGATACTTCTCAAAAGAAGACATACAAGCAACCAACAAACATATGGATAAATGTTCAACATCACTAATCATCAGAGAAATGCAAATCAAAATCGCAATGAGTTACCATCTCACACCAGTCAGCATGGCTATTATTAAAAAGTCAAAAAACAATAGATGCTGGCAAGGCTGCAGAGAAAAGGAACGCTTATACACTGTTGGTGGGAACGTAAATTAGTTTAACCCCTACGGAAAACGGTATGGAGATTTCACAAGGAACTAAAAATAGAACTACCATTCTACTCAGCAATCCCACTACTGGGTATCTACCCAAAGGAAAAAAAAATCATTTTATCAAGAAGACACCTGCACACGTACGTTCACTGCAGCACTATTCATAATAGCAAAGTCAGGGAATCAAGCTAAGTGTCCATCAATTGTGAACTGGATAAAGAAAATGTGGTATACATACACCACAGAATACTATGCAGCCATAAAAAACGAAATTGTGTCCTTTGCAAAAAAAAAAAAAAAACTAAAACAGAAGATCAAATACCCCATATTTTCACTTATAAGTAAGAGCTAATCAATGGGTACACATGATATAAAGATGGAAAGAATGGGATATGCATTCTAGACACTGGGCACTCCAGAAAGGGTAAGGATGGGAGTGGGGAGAGAGTTGAAAAATTCCCTATTGGGTACTATGTTCAATATTTGGGTAATGGGTTTACTAGAAGCCCAAACGCCAGCATTACACAATATACGCATGTAACAAATCTGCACAGGTGCCACCTGAATTTATTTTTTAAAAGCCAACAATGACCACTATCCATCTCCTAAACTTTTTCATCTTCCTAAACTGAAACTCCATATCCCTTAAACAATAAGTAACTATTCTCCCTTCCCCAGCCCTGGCAACTACCATTCTATTTCTGTCTGTATTAATTTGACTACTCTAGGCACCTCGTATAAATGGAGTCATACAGTATTTGTCCTTTTGTAACTGGTTTATTTCACTTAGCATGATGTCCTCAAAGTTCATATATTTTGTAGTAGGTCAGGGTTTCCTTCCTTCTTAAGGCCAAATGATATTCCACCATATGTATATGTCACAATTTGCTTATCCATTCACCCTTCAATGGACGCTTGAGTTGCTTCTACCTTTTAGCTATTGTAAATGATGCTGCTATGAACATTGCTGTACAAATTCAGTTCAAGTCCCTGCTTTCACTTCTTTTGGGTAGATACTCAGAAGTGGAATTGCTGGATCATATGGGAAATCTATCTTTAATTTTTTGATAACCACATCATTTTCCATAGGCTGTACCATTTGCATTCCCACCAGAAATGCACAAGGGTTCCAATTTCTCCACATCCTCACCAATACTTATTTGCTGTTTGTTCTGTTTTTGTTTTTAATAATAGCCATCCTAATGAGTGTGAAATAGCCACAGCAGTTTTTAGTCTACAATTTTGAGTGAAGGTCAGGACACCGAATGTTGATAAAAACAGCAGCAACCCCAGCAGTAGCAGCAGCATTATAATCATCAGCTGCTAATAGAGCACTAAGATTTAGAAGGCTCAAGCATTAAATACTTACAATCAAAAGCTACAGAAGTTGCCGACTCTCCAAACAGAAATTAACATTTGTTTTGAAGTAAGCACTGTAGCTGCCTCAGATTCATGGTCATGACAGTTGTAACCATTAATAGGTTAAATGTACTTATTTAAAGAAAAAGATTGTCATAATGGGTCACATCCAACTACATGCTGCTTATCATAACACGCATTTTTAAAAATAAATTCTATCTCAATTGTGTTGGTCTCTCTATGATTGACATGGTTTGGCTGTGTCCTCACCCAAATCTCATCTTGAATTGTAATCCCTATAATCCTCATGTGTCTAGGGAGAGAACTGGTGTGAGGTGATTGGATCATAGGGTTGGTTTCCCTTCATGCTGTTCTTGTAATAGTGAGTGACTTCTCATGAGATCTGATGGTTTTGTAAGAGGTTCTCCCCACTTCGCTCCTCACTCTTTTCTCTGTCCTGCCGCCATGTGAGAAGGCCCAAGCTTGCTTCCTCTTTGCCTTCCGCCATGATTGTAAATTCCTTGAGGCCTCCCCAGCCATGCAAAACTGTAAGTCAATTAAACCTCTTTTCTTTATAAGTTACCCAGTCTTGGGTATGTCTTCATAGCTGTGTGAAAACAGACTAATACAGTAAATTGGTACCTCAGAGAGTGGGGTATTGATACAAAAATACCTGAAAATGTGGAAGAGAATTTGCAGTTGGGTAACAGGCAGAGGTTGGAACAGTTTAGAGGGCTCAGAAGAAGACAGGAAGATGTGGGGAAGTTTGGAACTTCCTAGAGACTTGTTGAATGGTTTTGACCAAAATTCTGATAGTGATACAGACAATAAAGTCCAGGATGAGGTGATCTCAGATGGAGATGAGGAACTTATTGGGAACTAGAGCGAAGGTCACTCTTGCCATGCTTTAGCAAAGAGACTAGTGGCATTTTGTCCCTGCCCTAGAGATGTGTGGAACTTTGAACTTGAGAGAGATGACTTAAGGCATCTGGTGGAAGAAATTTGTAAGCAGCAAAGTGTTCAAGATGTGGTCTGTGTGCTCTTAAAAGCATTCAGTTTTATGCATTCACAAATAGATGATTTGAAATTGGAACTTATGTTTAAAAGGGATACAGAGCATAAAAGTGGAAAATTTGCAGCCTGATGATGCGATAGAAAACAACCCATTTTCTGGGGAGAAACTCAAGCTAGCTGGAGCTGTGAGAAGAGGGCCACCATCTTCTAGATCCCAGAATGGTAGATCCAATGGCAGCTTGCACCATGCAGCTGGAAAAGCTGCAGACACTCAATGCCAGCCTGTGAAAGCAGCTGGGAGGAGGGCTGTATCTTGCAAAACCACAAGGGTAGAGCTGCCCAAGACTGTGTGAGTCCACCTCTTGCATCAGTGTGACCTGGATGTGAGACATGGAGTCAAAGGAGATCATTTCAGAGCTTTAAGATTGAATAGCTGCCCTGCTGGGTTTTAGACTTGCATGGGGACTGTAACCCCTTTATTTTGGCCAATTTCTCCCATTTGGAATGGGAGCATTTATCCAATGCCTATACCCCCATTGTATCTAGGAAGTAACTAACCTGCTTTTAATTTTACAGGCTCGTAGGTGGAAGGGACTTGCCTTTTCTCAGATGAAACTTTGGACTTGGACATTTGGGTTTATGCTGGAATGAGTTAGTTAGGACTTTGGCAGACTGTTGGAAAGGCATGATTGTGTTTTGAAATGTGAGGACATGAGATTTGGGAGGGGCCAGGGATGGAATGATATAATTTGGCTGTGTCTCCACCCAAATCTCATCTTGAATTGTAATCCCTATAATACCCATGTGTCTAGGAGAGACTGATGTGAGGTGATTGGATCATGGGGGTGGTTTCCCCTACACTGTTTTTGTGAAAGTGAGTGAGTTCTCATGAGATCTGATGGTTTTATAAGGGGCTCTTCCCCCTTCACTCCTCACTCTTCTCTCTCCTGCTGCCACATGAGAAAGGTCTAAGGTTGCTTCCCCTTTGCCTTCTGCCATGATTATAAGTTTCCTGAGGCCTCCCCAGCCATGCAGAACTGTGAGTCAATTAAACCTCTGTTCTTTATAAATTATCTAGTCTCAGGGAAGTTCATTATAGCAGAGTGAAAATAGACTAAGGCAATGCTACTTTAAGATTTGTTGATTGGCCTCATATATAGTCAGTTCTTATAAGTGTTTTATGTGTACTTGAATAGAATTTTCTAGGTATTGAATTGACATTTTGTATGTATGTATGTATGTACGTATGTATGTATTTTTGTATTTTAGTAGAGACGGAGTTTCACCATGTTGCCCAGGCTGGTCTCAAACTCCTGAGCTCAGGCAATCTGCCCGCCTCGGCCTCCCAAAGTGCTAGGATTATAGGCGTGAGCCACTGCGCCCAGCCAATTTATTTATTTATTTTTAATTTGAGATAGAGTCTTGCTCTGTCACCCAGGCTAGAGTGCAGTGGCACAATCTTGGCTCACTGCAACCTCTGCCTCCCAGGTTCAAGTGATTCTTGTGCCTCGCATCCTGAGTGGCTGAGACTACAGGCGTGCACCACCATACCCAGCTAATTTTTGTATTTTTAGTAGAGACAGGGTTTCGCCATGTTGGCCAGGCTGGTCTCAAATTCCTGGCCTCATGTGATCTGCCCAGTTCAGCCTCCCAAAGTGCTGGGATTATAGGCAGAAGCCACCGTGCCTGGCCTGAATTAACATTTTACAAAAGTTAATTAGAACAATCTCATTGATTGTATAGTTCTCATGAATTGCATTATGATTTTTTTTGTCCACTTCAGTTATTGAAAGAAGTATCTCTCCTGATGATGGTAAATTTGCCAATTTCTGCTTTCAGTCTTGACAATTTTTGCTTTATATCTAAGTTAGGTTAATAGTTTCCTGATGTTTGAATATTTTAACAATACATTGTGAACCTCTTTACAACTAGATGTGCTTTTTAAGGGGTATTTTTTCTTTGTATTTGTCCCACTTATTCAGCATGCATGTTTGCACGTTTCTTTTTTAAATTCAAAAAAGTCTTCTTTTTGATTAAACCATGTTTACATTTTATTCCATTTTCCCCTTCTACTATCTTGGAAATTATATAGTTATATTTTTAGCGAATACTGATATATTTAAGCATACATATTAAATTAAAATTGAAAGTGAACAAATACCTTTATCCTTCTCCTAAATAATACTAGAGCCTTAGATTACTAACTCTAAGTTTATATGCTTTTATTGTTCAGGATTATTTTATTTCTTTGGTTCTATCTTATACAGTTAATGTTTGTTTTTATTCATGAAAAGCGTCTTTCTTGGATCTCAGATTCTCCCTCTAGGCTCATTTTCCTCTTCCAAAAGTATTCTGTGAAGTTCTTAAAATGAACTTCTAATGGAGATAGAACTCTCTCAGATTTTGCTTTCCTTAAAATGTCTTTATTTTATCTGCATTTGTGAAATATAATTTTTCTTGGTATATAATAATAAATTGAAAATATTTTTCTCAAGACTTTAAAGATATGATACCAATGTAGTTTAGCTTCTTTTGAGACTGTTAGGAAGTCAAGTGTTTTTTGTTTTTCTTTTTTTTTTTTTGCTCTCTCACCCAGGTTTGAAGTACAGTGGTGCAATCATAGCTCACTACAGCCTTGAACTCTCAGACTCAAGCAATCCTCCTGCCTCAGCTTCCCAGGTAGCTAAGACCACCACACCCAGCTAGTTTTTTATTTTTTATAGAGACAGGGTCTTGCTATGTTGCCCAGGTGGTCTTGAACTCCTGGCCTCAAACGATCCTCCTGCCTTAGCTTCCCAAAGTGCTGGGATGTAAGTGTGAGCCACCATGTCCAGCCTGAGAGGTCTTTCTTAATTTGGCTGTAGGTCCTTTGCAGTTAATTTTTCTTTTATATCTAGCTGCTTTTATGGTTTTTTCTTTGTCTTTGATGTTGTGCAGTTTTATTCAGTTATTTTAAGATTTGAGGTTTTTTTTGGTTTACCTTTGTTGACTTCATTGGGATTTCTGAATCTGAAGACTTAATTTTGTAATTAATTTTGGAAATTGTTCAGCTATTAGTTCTCCCAATATTTCCTTATTCCCATTCTCTCTAACCTCTTTTCATGAAATTCTAATTAGGGATATACTAGATATTCTCATTCTATCTTCACATATTTTGATCTATTTTCAGTATTTTCTATCTCTATCTCTCCATGCTAAATTCTGTGTAATTTTTTGTGATTTATCTTTTAGTTCACCATTCTCCTTACATCTGTGGTTTTTTTGATGTTCAATTTGTCCTTTGAGTTTCAAATTTAAATTATTTTATTTTTCATTTGTAAACGTTCTATTTGGCTCTTTTTCAAATCTGCATGATCAATTTTGATAGTCTCTTTCTCCCTAGTCATACTGTCAGTACTCTTATTTCTTCCAACATATTCAACATAGTTATTCTATATTGTGTGTCTGGTTATTCCAAAATTTTCAGGCTTTATAAGGTTGGCTCTGGCTTTTTTTGTTGTTGTTCTTGTTGGACGACTATTGCTCATAATTGCATGGTTTTCTGTCTGTTTTGAGATATATATATATATATATATAAATATAAATATATATACACACACTATATATATACACACACACACAATTTTATATTATCTCTCTCTATATATATTTCTTTATATATGTTTATTTATAATACATATATATTTCTATTGTGAGCTCATGCTCCTAGGAACTTTATCTGAAAGATTCTTTGTGCCTGCATTTAAATAATGTTCCTTTGGAAACGTGCTTTGGTTTCTGCCAGAGGCCTTAGGGCAATATTGCCCATGACCACTTTAACTAGATTTATACAATATGCTGGCAGAATGAATTCTGGCACCAAATCTGCTTAAGGGTGGGTTTGTGGTTTGGCATCTCAGTAAGACATTTTGTTAAGTAACTTCCTCAAAATGAGATAGAATATCTCTCTTAAGCTGATGGTTTATAGCATATCTTATAATTAAATAATATAGGCTTTTTAAATAAAATCAGAAACTAAAATTCTTAGTAACACCAATAGTATTTAACATTGCTCTGGTTGGTACAATAAGATAAAAAATGGAAAAAAGATGTATAATTATTAGAAAGAAGGAAAACATGGTTGAAAACAGTAGTGAATCCAATAAACTTGATCAAGTTGAAATATTTTTACATAAAATTGATTTCCTTATATATCAGTGATAACTAGTAAGAAAAATGATTTTTAATTAATTATGCAACATCCTTTACAATTTGACAAAATGACGCTAAAGGTAAAATACAATAATAATATTTAAAATTTTTTGTAAAGAAATTCAATGAGTAGAGACTTGCTTTGTCATATATTTAAATACATTATAAAGCTACAGTAATTAAAATAGGCTGGTACTATTTAATAATAATGATGAACCAGAATAGTTATCTCTGAAAAAAATCCTAAACCATATTAAGTATTATAACAGAAACTTAACAAAGCACTGGGGAACAAATGCATTTTAATATTGGCTAGAAAATTGGATATAAGGAAAAAATTAACTTAGGTATTCTTTTTCCACTTCTGAGACACATTTCTCACCCATTTCTAATTTTCTACTTCTGTAGCCATATGAAGAATGTACCTTCTTAGGTATACAGCATCTCTGCTCCTAGGTTTGCTCTCACAACTTTATATTAAAAGTTCAAACTCCCTGGGACACCCTTATTCACATGCAAACACATCAGAGACTTTTTCCATCTGAAAAATTAAATTTTTGGCAGTGTGTATCAAGGGTCAGAGGTTGCGTTCCCAAAGGCCAGCTCTAAATTATATCTCTGACAGGGAAATAGAGGACTAAAGAAATTTAAGGAGTGGAAGACTTTAATGTTAGAGACCAAGACCAAAAAGAAATGGGTGAAATATTTCTTCAATTATTGATTCAGTCAAATGAGCATCCTGGTGTCTGGCATTTGTTGCCATGAGACACAGTATTAAGGTCTTTCAAGAGTTTACATCTTACTGGGGGAAATGAAACACATGCAAAGTAATAACAGAATCATTATCCACTAAACGGTATACTATTGATGTGTGTGCAAATGAACGTTCTAAGTAAAGGGGAGGACTTAGTTCAGAAAACAGATTCACATGAGGAGAGAAGTTGGACAAGGAGCTGGGGGCCACACTGTTTTAGGGGTGGTGGTCTGCTCTCCTTTCTCATGGCGGTGGAGGTTGATGATACGTTTGCCCTTCTCCAGTCCATTTGGAACTGGCTGGCTCAACTGCCCTCTAGCCACGAGAGTTACTACAATTTAGCTCTTTTATATGGCTCCCAGGCTCAGCAGCACCTGTAATGAAGAGCAAGCCAATCATATCAGTAAGTCCAACAAAAAAAATCTAACTTTCCCTGGATGATAAAAGATAGCCAGGGAGAGAGAGGGGAGAAAGATGGGAAAGGGAGGCTGAGAGAGAAGTAAACATGCTCCTGATGTCTCTCTCTCCTCTTTCTTGCCTTGCTAGCAGAACCAAGCCAAAGGAGCACAAAGTACTCTCTGCCTTTTGGCATTCTACCTCCTTGGCTGCGTGTCTACTGCTGGTCCCAGGTCAAGAACTAGGCCTCACTATTCAGAGGGACCACCTGCAGATTTTACTTGCTTTTTAAAAATCTCAGATCTAGTTCTTATATATAGGTTACAGCAGCCAAAATTCAGCTATGATAACACTCCTCACCAAATATGTCCTGGGCAACTTTGTTACCTCCAACTTTATCTACGGCAGGGACTTTTGTAGTATTTATAATCATTCAACACAATTTTACAGTTTTAATTGAAGAGTAAAGTTCTGGAAGTAAATACTTCTGAAATGATGGCATGGGCCATGCGGAGAAAAGATGGTTTTACTCACAGTCCTTCCCTTTACATATTTCACTCTTATACTGTCATCTTTGAGGAAAAGTACTTGTTTTACTTTCTTCCATATTATGTCCCTGGAGGTAGGGGGCTATATTAATTGATAAAAGCAGTTGTTTACATATCTAGTTAAAACCGTTGAAGAGGTTTGAATTAACAGCCTCATTTGGGAGACTTAAGGATTATAAGATCTAAAGAAGTGATAGGAGAAGGTAATTGGCCTGGAAAAGATTCAGAAAGATAAATGAATGTGGAAATTGTATTCTTGTCAGCAGACACCAAAATTGCCTGACAAACCCTTACTTCCCTTTTTACAGGTTAACTATCTATTTTAAAAGGGGGAAATGATAGAGGTGAAATGACACCCTTCTAAATGTCAGGAAATATAATTCAAGTAAAAAAGTGTGTGGTTTTTTTCTCCTCTTCCTGCTGAGGGTTATACCTACCTCTTCCTAGGAAACTATGATGTACCATTTAAGATTTATAGAAAATTCTGGAGTAATGTTTTTACCCCTAAGAAACAAGATATGATTCATTTAGCATAAGCAACTCAGGTCTCTTTCTCCATCCTGATTGTACACTTTTGAGGAATATCAATTGAGCTTCAGATCTTGAGTCTGAAATTCTGTCTCCCTACTCCCTGCCTGTATGACTTTAGGCTGCTTGTTGTTTTGTAATTTCTTAAGTCAGTGCCTCCCACAGGAACCATGACATATTAATAGTTATTAGGCAAAACAACAACAAAATTCTTTGGACGAATATATTTTTGAAATGCCTGGCTTAAATAAAATTAAGTGGAACTTCTCGGTCCCTGATATGGTTATGTACAGTGTAAATCTTTAATGGAAAGATATTATTAAATTATTTTTGGTGTTTTAAAACTACTTTTATCTGAATTACAAAACTTTTTAAAAAGTTATTCAAACATGATGAAAGTGTATAAAGTGAAAAAATAAAAGTACTGCTTTGGTATCAGAACTGGCAGCCCCATTCTCCAGGGTAACTACTGTCAGTGGTTTCTTAATACCCTTCCTGAAATTTTCTACAAATGAGCCCGCATATTTACTTCCCGTTTAATAACGGAAACACAATCTTACCATAGCTATCATTTATATCTTGCTTTTGTTAAAGCAACATATCTTGGACAGATTTCTAGCAGTTCATGGGGACCTACCTAATTTAATAACATGAATTGCCATGGTTTACTAGTCTTTCAGAGCTGGGAATTTCATTTTTTTTCCAGTTTGTTGCTGTTAGAAACAATGCTGCAACAAACACATTTATTCTGTTATGGTCTGAAGGTTTGTGTCTCCCCAAAACTCGTATGTGAAATCTAATTTCCAATGTGTTCGTATTTAGAGGTGGGGCCGTTAGGAGGTGATTTGGTCATGAGGGCTACGACTTCTTGAATGGGACTAGTGACCTTACAAAAGAGGCTTGAGGGAACTTGTTTCCCCCTTCCACTGTGTGAGGATGCAGCAAGAAGTCGCCACCTCTGAAGGAGAGAGTGAACCCTCACCAGATGTCAAATCTACCAGTATCTTGATCTTGAATTTCCCAGTCTCCAGAGCTGTGAGCAATAAATTTATACTGCTTAGAAACTACCCTGTCTAAGGTATTTTGTTATAGGAGCACAAACTAATTGACTAAGACAATTCACATACCTTTGTTGAACTTCTGTGAGACTATCTCCAGGATAAATTCCTAGTAATAGAACTGCTGAGTCAAAGGGTAAGCATATTTAAAATTATTTCTGATATAGCTAAATGGCCCTTCAAAATCACAATCCCCCCAATAGTAAATGAGAGCTCTTATTTCTCCACATTCTTAACACTGGGTAATGTTTGCTAATCTGTTAGTTTAAAACATATCTTATTTTATTTTTAGTTTTCAGTTAGTTATGTATGAGTGTGGCATTTTTGCATACAAATCCAATTTGTAAACTCTTTCCCAAAGATCTGACTTTTTCTTGCCCCACTAGAAACAACAATGCCAACCTCAGGATTACTGTACAGATTCAATCCATGTAAAGTGAGAAGTTCAGGGTTTGGCACACAATAAGTGCTCATCAAATGCTATTTGAAAAACCAACCTATCAAGCCTGACTCACTTCATTTGAAAGGATTAGAGTTACTGAGGTTTTATTGTACCTCACTTCATCAATGGGAAATGCAGATTTCAGAAAACAATGTAGATGGGAGGAAAGTGCTCTCCACACTTACAGTATTTATCACATTGTATTTTCATTGTCTATTTGTCTGTCTCCCCTCTAGATTGAGGGGTACCTGAATTTATGGATATTGTCTTATTTTACATTTCTTTTTTTTCCCTTGAAATCATGATTTTATTGAGTTGAAGGCATTTCAACCACAGGTGATTAGTATCATCTGAATCTACCCACAGCTCAATCAAGTCTAAGGCTAAAAACATTCAATCTCTTAAAAAAAAATGAGCAAGCAATTTTTCCTCTGTAGTTCAAGTTCATTGAGTTGATAACTCTTGTCCCAGAAGGAAAAAACTGCTATCTTATAAGCCACAAACTAAACATATGTAGTTAATTAACAAATTAATTAACGTGAGATACCAACTCAGTCAAAATTTCAACAACTTACATTAAAATAAGCAAAGTCTTTCCAGTCATCTTCAAATTCTTCCTAAAATTTATTTTAAAAAGTGAAACTATCAAAATATCTATTTATTTATACTTTCATCACATTTAGCAGTGAATTTGATTTATAAACTTTAAGCATAAGCTTCCATAATAAAGAATACATTGTATACTGGTACATTGACTTTTTGATTTGAGCTTTCTTTTCTTTTACTTTTTTTTTTTTTTCTTTGCGACAATGTCTTGCTCTATTACCCAGGCTGGAGTGCAGTGGCTCAATTTTGGCTCACTGCAACCTCCACCTCCTGGGCTCAAGCAATCCTCCCACCTCAGCCTCTCAAGTAGCTGGGACTGCCAGGTGTGTGCCACCATGCCTGGCTAATTATTTTATTTTTTATAGAGATGGGGGTCTTGCTCTGTTGCCCAGGCTGGTCTCAAACTCCTAAACTCAAGGGATTCACCCACTTTAGCCTCTCAAAGTTTTGGGATTACAGGTGTGAGCCACCACACCCAGCCCCTCTTTTACATTTCAGATGGCCCATGTGAATTGTTTCTAAATGTAGGCCAAAAATTTTATAATCCTCACTTAATGGTGGCTAAGAGCTGCCTCATTAGCTATATTAGTTCATTAGACAAAGACACATTTATTAAAAATAAGAAGCAGGTGGAATGTAGTGGTAACGCAGATTTAATTTGTTCAAAATAACTACATTGTGGGTTTGGAAGTATAAGAGAGGTTGCTCTGTGATCCTTTCCTGCCAAACAAAGCCTCACTATGGGTTGATTTTTAGCAATAAATATAAAGAGACTTGAAAATGTCAGTTTTGTATAAAGCTAGGATGATTGTTATTCAGTGTTTTATTCTTTTACTATTAAATTTTAGAAATGCAATTTTACATTTCTAATAGTAACTACTTTGGGGTTTGGCAATTGGTAAGCAATGAATAATTGTTGAATACTTGGATGAAGAGATGAATGAATGAGGTATCAGTTCTGTTCTCAGGACCTAAGAAGTATGGATAGATAAAGCAAGATTTTTCTCCATCTACTGAATGAACACGGCAGGGTCAGCAGTACTGGACAAAGCTATGACACATTTAGAATCTGACAGCATTGAATGCACACAGCAGAGCAATTACAGCTCTAGTTCCATAGGCAACCCTAAGAAACTTTTCTATCATTGAGGTGGAAATACTAGCTTTTAAAAAACCGACACACCTATTAGCTTCTTTTCTTCTTTAGGTCTTTGACTTGTTTATTCTAGGCCTGTGGGTACTAATAGATCTGTGGATGTATGCATTTGCCATTTTAAATAAAGGCTAGGAAGGGAAGTTTTAAAACTAATACGCATGTATGTTTGTAATCGTTGTTATTCAAGGCTACATAAGTTTGGATTTCTTATGTTTAAACAAGACACACAGACATCCTCTAAACAACTCCACATAAGATAACCATTCTGATAGGCATTTAGTTAAATATAAACAAGTGTGTAAAACCCCACACGATGAATTGAAAATAAAATGAGAACTCCCCTAAAGTTCCTACTTCCAGTTTCAGAAGATGTTTCTCCATAGCTACAACATAAGTAAATGTATACAAGTTTAGGAAATAATCTTCCAGTAAACAATGAAAAATTGTTCACACAAGAGTGTGTTCTGTCTTCGTCAGCTGAGAAAGTAAATGATAGCATTCACCAGCAATATAAACTACCTGAATAATAAACAAAATGTTATCTATTTTAGCAATACTTTCGGGTGCTGGATAGAGGCTATGGGACAGGGTAGGAAGGCAAGAGCTGGGGCTGGGTTGGGCAACTAGGGATAATTTCCTACTGATTGTAGTTGCATTCTAAAGCCCTGAGAGCGGAGTAGATGTAACATCAAGGTGTTGTGTTAAATCATCACACTAGATAAGACTTTATAATAGACTAAGCGATCAGTGGAAATGGCTGACTTAGGGGTCATTAAGCCTGACACATTAGGTCATTAGGCTGACATAGGGGTGAGGGATGACAGGCAAGGCTGGGCCTGAGAGATGGGGCAGAGAGTACTCCCTATTTTAGGGAGAAAAAAATACATTGCCCTCACAAATTGATTTTAATCTTTATTTTCCTACTGGATTGGCTTTGGGTCTCATGAAGGGGCTCAAAACAGTTCACAGATGGTAAAGGTCTTCTGTCTGGTAATCTACATAATAGATGCAAGAAATCCAGGACCCTGTTGAGGGATGGCATGATGTAGTGTAGCTAACTAACTACTGACCTCCAGGCTAGTTAGGAGGACCAGATGAGAGAACGTCTGTGTGGTGGATGTCAGCTGCTCAGCATCCACTACCTCTTTTGGGGGAACATTATCCAAATTTTGTTTTAGGGGAATCACCCCTCCTCTACTTTCAGCCTTGATGAAAGTAGCCTAGGTTACAACTAATCAGTTTATCCATCCCTCCTGGCCACAGTGACTGGCTGGATAATGGGTACATAACTAAAGCCAGGCCAATCAGGTCAATAAGACTCAATTCCAAAATTATTGTGCTTTGAGGAAAATGGTCTTGCTCTCTCTCTGTTTTTTAAAAATAATCATACTTGGCATTGAAATCCTTGGTACTACCTGGTGTCATCATGAATGAATCCAATGCAGCAGAAAGTAGAGTCAAGAAATTGAGCAGAAGCTAAGTTTGCATGATGTTGATCGAATCTATCTAGAGTTGCCTATAGCTTTACTCCTGGATTTTTCAGGAACAATAATAAGTCTCCCCACTCCTTTTCTTGCTTAAGCCATTTGAGATGAGTTTTATGTCACTTGCAACTTAAACTATTCTAGTGTGTGAAGCCTTTAGTACTGTGTCTGGCATATTTATGCTCGTTCTTACAAATATCAGTTTTATTTTCTTTTTCTTTTCCCTCTCCTTCTCCTCCTCCCATCTCCCCCAAATCTTACTTTATATCTCTAGTGTAAAACAGAAGATTAGATTTGACTATTTCCTTTAGAAAGCATGACCAAATAATTACTGGAAACACTTCTTCTGGGCCTCAATTTCTTCATATGTGAAGTAAAGGGGTTGCAGAAGTCCATCTTATTCTTTCAGCCTTAATTTTCCAGCAGTCTAAAAATCAGTTGGCAGTGATGATTTGAGAAGAAAAGTTCATCCTTCCCAACCACTCCTTGATTTTTCTAGTGTGGAAATTTGTGTCTTTAGAGAAGAGACTAAAACTAAGAAACTGCAGGGCCAAAATGATGGAAACGCTTCCCTTCAACTGAGCTTTCTCAATCCTTGAGCCACTGTGAATTTTAGGCCTTCACTTCCATCCTACTTTTGAGTTTAAATACAACGGACTATTTTGTAGTTTGGTAAGAAAAAGCACTGCATTATTTAAGAAAGCTTTGGTCTAGTTTAGCTCTGCTACTATCTAACGGTTCTTGACATAGCACATGTATGCAATTCACATACTGAAACGGACAAGTGATTCACAAGCGTCACAGATCCATGGAAAGTCATGTGTAACTAACAGCAGGTAAATTGATATATACAGAATCTGGATGACTTATAATACTTTTTAAAGATATCTTAAGATGAATCCAAGTTTATCCCTAAAATAACATTACTCTTGCTCACATGTAGTTTGATATACGTGCTCTTGAGCACGAGAGAACACTGAGCTTCTTGGGATTCCTAATAACTTGAGTTATCTTCATGAATCATGCCATGAGTTTGAATATCACTCATCATGTGAGTGACAGTAGGAAAGCTAGATTTCCTTTTTTTTTTTTTTTTTTTTTTGAGACGGAGTCTCGCTCTGTTGCCAGGCTGGAGTGCAGTGGCGCGATCTCGGCTCACTGCAAGCTCCGCCTCCCGGGCTCACGCCGTTCTCCCGCCTCAGCCTCCTGAGTAGCTGGGACTACAGGCGCCCGCCACCATGCCTGGCTAATTTTTTGTATTTTTAGTGGAGACGGGGTTTCACCGTGTTAGCCAGGATGGTCTGGATCTCCTGACCTCATGATCCTGCCCGCCTCGGCCTCCCAAAGTGCCGAGCCACCGTGTGAGCCACTGCGCCCAGCCAGAAAGCTAGATTTCTAAGGTTCTTCCATTTCCAGGATTTTGGATGGTAGACATGGTGGTGGCTGTGGAATGTGAGGATTTGTGGTAGAGACACGGACTGAGGATTTCATTAACCCAAATCTGGGAAATATGTGAGGGGAGCAAGTTAAGTTTGAACTACCACATTTGGTGTTATAATCTCTTCTTGAGCAAATAAATTTTAAAAGCTACAGCTATTTTCTTTATACAAATGACAGAATGCATAGATTAGGTAGGATATGAAAGAGAAGACTCTAGTTTCTAGGTATCAGTCAATTTCAATGTGTTGCAGAGTAGGTGGTGGGGAAAGAAGTAAGTGTTCCTGGGGTGTTTTTTATTAAGGTCTTCAGGGCAGAGATTTTTTTACTTTTATCAAAAAAGTACGATTTGGAGACAAACTAAGCTCAGGTTGAAGTCATGGTCTTCCTTAATTTCTCTAAACTTTAGTTTTCTCAACTATAAAATAGGGATAATAATATTTACCTCATAGGGTTGTTGTGATGATAAAATGCAATAAAACATGTAAAGCACACAACATGGTACCTGGCTCACAGTGACCAGGGACAAGCTGAATTAAGATTACAGGTGTGGTGTTTTAAAGATTGAGCAATGTTGTTCTAGTTTTTAATTTCATTTCTTTTTATTTTTCAAACTCCTGATACAAATTATTCTAAATTCCACTATAAATGCTTCTCTTTGGTTCATATATAGAAATAAGTTCTGCTAAAGGATGAGACACACTTAGCACACACACAAGTGAATATGTATGTATGTACTGACACAGCAAGAGGGAGGCAGAAGCTGATGTTGGGCTGTGAGGCAGACCTGTGAGGCAGATCCATGGTTTCCCTGACACCCAGATATACATTGTGTAAATGACAGCTCAAGACTCATATGCATTTCTATATCACATGGCGTTTTAGATAACATTCTCTCCCTACACCTCGTTCTTAGGACTTGAGACTTCTTTGATTATTCCAGTCACATCTAACTACTGAATTGGAAATTCTCAATATCTTGCAATAATTCAGACCTTTACAGAGGAAGCAATATCTTGAAGGTTTCCAGTGTGGAAAACCAAGGAGGTGAGATTTCCAGGTTCCCAAGCACAGGATAAAAATCCTTGTAGCTCTACAGAATCCCTGCTGCAGGGTGCCTTAGGAAGTTCTGAACCAGAGAAGTTTTCCACTTGGCCAAGAACTCATGTTAGAGTTCATTCCTCTCCATCATTTTTTAGGCTTCTGACTTTACTTGCAAGTGCAGGAAATAGATTTGGTTTTGTGAGACAGATCTCTCCTATGAAATACTTTCGTATGGAGGATAAACCTCAGGAGATTGATTTCAAATTAGAGGATCATTTCCTTTCTCTTTGATGGAGTATATATAGTCTCAAAGTTTACAAGTGTCTCTTTAAAAGAAGGTACATTTTTACATTCCTGTAAGTGTAACTCAAGGATTTCTAAAGACCCAACTAGGATTACCAGTCAGATAAAAAGACATTGTTTTATGATACTACCTCTTCAATCCAATAAACATTCCATTGCATAAACTTTAAAATATATATACTCCAGAAATTTGTAGAAATAAAAGAAAAAAGGAAAACACTAAACATGGTGATATTTTATTTATAAGGAATTCTAACTATTTATTATTATGCAGGAATATATTTTAATATTCCCTGTAGAATGTAAGTACAAGGAGAGGCTGGGTGCGGTGGCTCTCACCTGTAATCCCAGCACTTTGGGAGGCCGAGGCGGGCAGATCACGAGGTCAGGAGTTCGAGACCAGCCTGACCAACATGGTGAAACCCCATCTCTACTAAAAATACAAAATTAGCTGGGCATGGTGGCACGTGCCTGTAATCCCAGCTACTCGGGAGGCTGAGGCAGGAGAATCGCTTGAACCTGAGAGGCAGAGGTTGCAGTGAGCCAAGATCGTGCCACTGCACTCCAGCTGGGGTAACAGAGCAAGATTCTGTCTCAAAAAAAAAAAAACAAAAAACAGCAATTTGGGAGGCCTAGGCGGGCGGATCACCTGAGGTCGGGAGTTCGAGACCAGCCTGACCAACGTGGAGAAACTCTGCCTCTACTAAAAATACAAAATTAGCCGGGTGTGGTGGTGCATGCCTGTAATCCCAGCTACTTGGGAGGCTGAGGCAGGAGAATTGCTTGAACCTGGAAAGCAGAGGTTGCGGTGAGCCGAGATCATGCCATTGCACTCCAGCCTGGGCAATGAGAGCAAAACTCCATCTCAAAAAAAAAAAAAAAAAAAAAGAATGAGAACAAACAAGAATATTGGCTGTATCATTCACCAGAATACCTAGAACAATGCCTAGCCCATGGAGTGCAATAAATAGACACTGAATGTATAAACAATGAATTACTTATGTAGACATAAGTACTTTCAGAGGCAAAGAGAACATACATATATATTCCTTTTCTTGTGAAGATCATTTCACTACAGTCAATTTTTTTATTTTGATCTTTTACTTGTAAAAAGAAACGTGCCATATAATTATTTAAAAGTAACCAAAACATAGAGTACATAGAAAAATCATGGCTCATAACATGAAATTATTAAAAATGAGTATTTTGCTCTACCATACTTTAAAGGGTTTTGTGGAAAACAGCCTGAGGGAAGCATGAGAGGAAGACACCCAGGTTTACTACCAAGTGAGATGCTAGCTTAAATGTACTAAATTGTAAAATAAAACTTAAGAAAAGCTTTTTACAAATGGTAAAAGATATAACCTATTTCATACTAATCTGTGAGGTTTATAGTATTTTCATATAACCAATTTTCCTTAATATTAGGAAATATATTTAAAAGATTTTTTATATTCTCTCAAAAAGATAGTTTCTACTCACCACATATTCTAGGTGCTCCCTGAGTACTCCCAGTCTACTTGGCAGGAAAGTTGCAGCCATGTAACTATTAGGTTGGTGCAAAAGTAACTGTGGTTTTACCATTACTTTTAATACTTTTTTGGTCAATGGATTAGGAGGGAAAGTAAAGTGTATCAACCTTAGGCCAAAGCTGTTCAAAGCTCTTGTGCTTCCTCCATTTCTTTCCTATTTCCAGGCTGACTTTTGGGGCTTATCTTCCAAGTGGCAGAGCTACCAGATGAAGTAGAGCTGCTCAACCTGCATCTGACTTTGTGTAAGCCACAGTGTGTCAGCCACAAGCGCCTTTGTAGCAGTAAGATTTGGGACATGCCTATTCATCACCCTGGTTAATACATATTCCCTATTTCAAGTATAGAACTTTTAAAATGACCTACCTTAGGAATAAATGAACTCAAGAAAAGCATCTCATATTTCAGATCTCAGATTCCCAAATTGTTATCTTTTGTTTTCTGCTCCCTTGTTTTGATCAGATCTCATTAATTCACTATTTACTTAACAAACATTTCATTGAGAATTTACTGTGTATTAAGCTATGTGCCAGGTGCTAGAGATACAATGATATCCAATTTCTTAATTCATGGACCTTACAACTTGAAGGTAAAACAGGCATTAAACACATAATCACATAAATCAATGTATAGTTACAGAAAATTAAAATATAAGTATAAAATAAATCATAAAAATAAAATAGAGAAACCATTTTAATTAAATTAGGACTTCAGGAATGCCCTCTGTGGAAAGGACATTTAAACTGAGACAGTCTAGGTAGAGAACAGAATAGACAAAGGTCTCGAGGTGGAAAAAAGTATGGGAGGAAAGAGAGGTGTGACTGGAGAGCTAAGGAGTGAGGAGATAGTGAGATCAGGGGTTGGCAAACTATGGGCTTCAGGCCAAATCTGGCCTGCCACTTGTGTTTGTAAATAAAGTTTTATTAGAACACAGCCACGCCCATTCTTTTATATGTCTATTGCTTGGGTTACATCAGTAGATTTGAGTAGCTGCAACAGACTGTATGGCTTGCAAAGTCTAAAGTATCTGGCCTTTATAAAACATCTGCTGACCCCTGTACTAGATCATTCAGGACCTTGCCAGCCATGTTAAGGATGTGAGATTTAATCTCATGTGCAAAGGGAAGGCATTAAAGGGCTTTGAACAGGAAAGTGAGTGGCATGAACAGATGTGTGCTCTAAGAAAACCATTCTGGTTATTTGAAGAATGAACTGGAAAGGGGCAAGGATGGAAAAGCCAGTTAAAATAAGACAGTGTCTTGACAGTGACAGTGACGATGAAGAGAAGTGAATTCAAAGTCTATTTTTGAAAAAAATATCAATACGATTTGGTTTCAGATTGCATATTGTGGTGCAGGAGTGGAAAATATCAAGGATGATTTCGGATTTTTGCCCAAAAAAGCTAGGAGATTGGTGGCTCCATTTTCAAAAATGGGAAAGATGGGGGAGGAAAAAGTTCAGAATAATGAAAGTAGGCAATCAAGAGCCAGTGATGAACGTAAGTTTGATCTTAACATATATATATATTTTCCAAAAACAACAAAAAAGGAGTAAAACAACTCTCAAAAATATATTCTGAATTCTACTTTCTGTCCAGGGCTGGGATAATTTTCCTCTATTTTCCTTGTATTCGTTCCTTTAAAAATTCCATAGATTCTGTCCATTCAAAGAAAAGGCCACATTTAGTGAGACTGCATATATTTCAGGATCTGTTTGGGAGAAGATTTTCTTTGGCCGACACCTCCCAAGCTTCATGAAAACATCTATTTATCCTGGGACACAAGGAGATTTTCAGTCTGTTGCAGCTTTTATTTGCACTGCCAAAAGGAAAAACGAAAGGGTTTCAATAGTCCTTTAATTGAAACGTCCCTGGAGCAGAGGATTTGTCCTAACTCACATTTGGTTTTCCAGGCTCTCACTGGAGTTCTCCTTCCACAATGCCTAAAAAAGCCCTGGTTTTCTATGATGACAGTCCACTAAAATGCTCCACTTTCCCAATACTCACCAGCAGTATGCAGCCACCCCTTATTATACATTGTTATTTTGGCCTACTCAGCATTATGCCCTCTATGAAATTTTGTGTTAAGTGGTATTATGATTGGACTATTTTCCTGAATTGGGCAAGGTTTTCCCCTTGAGCCAGCATACTGGTTTGCCTCTAAGGATATCACTTTATCACTGCAGTTGCATAATTGGGTTCAGCTTTAGATTTGTAGCTGCTCAAATGAGCAAAATACATCTCAGGGCTGGGGGATTTGACCTAAAGCTTTGCTGTCATCCATTTGGTTTAGTAAAGAGAAGTTTTTGCCTTGACATTATAAAATGCTGAATTTGAAAAATTGAGACTAAGCAGATGGTGAAATTTTTATTTATGATAGTGTCAAAATATTCCTGGCTCCTTTTGTGGAGGAAATCTACTGGTTTACTGTGGACATTCTTATCTTCTTTCCTAATAAGACAAATGGAGTTACTCTTCCTGTTATATTTTGACAGGAAAAACAACGATTGGATCTGGGTATTTTGGCAAAAGCTCTTAAATCAGAGGGACTATAATCTTTATGATATTGTTAGCCACTCCCGAGAAACTACTATTATGAATACAGTAAACAAATAGGCATTTTATTTTTAATAAAAAAGAGTGAATTAGGTTCAACTGACCTCAAGGTTCTAAAGTGCCTTTCCTGACTCTGTTAAATAATGTAAGGATATATAACAACAGCAAGAATTCACTTGCTATATTTATAATAGAAATCTATTTTAGTGAGGAAAACTATATTTTAAATTCAAGGATGCTTCATTTTTTACAAACATGAATTTGGAATATTTTATACTAAAGAATTCCCCTAGTCCCACAGATCAGTTATAAATATTAATGGAATTTCAAGAGATTCTTTTCTGATTCCAGTGCTTAATATTCATTCATATTATGCAGGGAATTCAATGTCCTGTACAGTACATATGGATTCTTCTCATTATATAAATGAGCACATATATGGAATCTGTAGGGGCAATGACAATTAAAAATAGCAGGGCCCACATACGATTTTAGAGGGCATATAAAAGCCTTCTCAGCTCACTTAATAACAAGAAATTTACTGGTAATAAACCAAAGGACTCTTTAGGCTCAATTTACTCAATAATGTCACATCTGGGCAAAAAGATGGATTGGTGATTCTGAACAGAGTTAAAAATGCTAACTGATATAAAGTATTTATGAAACGCAATGAAGTGATTTCCTGTGGTGAGATTCTGCAGTCAGACTTCGAAACCTGCTCTTGAATTAGTCTCAGCTCTTTGATTTGCTAACGATTTACTTCACAGTGCTTAGTCTTCTCAGACTATTTGTAGTGTAAATTTTTTTTGGAAAAATTCTTATTCAAAAAATGATTTGACATCCCATAAAAAGAACTGCATCTAACTTCATGTTCTCTGAGTTTAATAACTTATTCAGGTAATAAGATATTGTTTAGCCTTCCTAATGTGTAAGTATAAGTATTATTTTTAACAAAGGGTGATTTTTAACTAAACCTGCACTATTAGTGTGTCATTCTCTCTTCTGTCTCTCAAAATAAAAATTTATATAACTAATGGACCAAAACCATAAAATAATTTGTATGTGACAACAATTATAAAGTTGGCATTTACTATGCACCTATGTGCCAGGCATGATATTAGAAGTTTTGGATATACTATCTCATTCAATCTTTATAACATTTCTGGGAGCCATTATAGTTACAGTTCAGGTAAGTAAGTGAAGCTCAGAGAGATTAAGAAGATTAATCATGATCACAGAGCTATTAGGTTGAATCACATGAAAATGCTGATATTGGACCATTTTTAATCTATAAAGACAGCAATATCATATGCTTCAACCTAATTCTAAGTGCTGAGTTACAGTATGAAAATAGGTCTGTGTGATTCAGAAGTCCATTGCAGTATATTAGATAATACTGGTTATTTTTTACCACTCATAATAATAAAAACCAAATCATGAATTATACAATAAAGAATTAATCACTCACCAAGTTGGGTTAATATGAACTCATCATTTATGGCAAGATTCCAATGCAAGATAGCATTTCATTTTAATATCATTCTGATATAAAAAGAGAGATAATTGCTAAACTGTGGCAGAGAAATGGCACATTTACAGAGCTTATCATATATTTTCTAAGTTAAATATCTCAGCTGGAGCACAGTTGTTCTTTAACAAACTATTAAAAAGAAATATCCTTCACAAAGAGAACAGTGGGATTCTTTGAAGTGTAACCTTGGAAATCACGGTTTGTGTTACGGGGCATCATTCAAAGCAGATGTATACTCCTCAGAGACCACAGTAAAACTGTTGCTAAGAATACTTGTTTCTCCTTTTCAGGTTTTACTGACAATACTATATAGTCAAGTATTCCCAGTGTTCTAGGCATGGTACAGAACATCCAAAAAGAGGCTTCTAATCATTCTAATTGCGAAGAACTCACATATGCTTTTCAGTGGCTTTCAGATTCAGCAATTAAACGAAGAGCTTATTCATTTTATGTGATTTAAAGGGTAGTGGTAACAGACATCTAGACTGTTTTAGAGATAAACAATTTGCTGACTAGCCATTACTTTTCCTTGCTTGCTAAGTGGGTGACCAGTGCTGAAGTATTAATTCTCAATGTTATTTCAGGAGCAGGGAAGGGCATTTCAGAGTTGCAAAAAGGACTACTGGCTCAGCAAATATTTATCAAGCACTGAATACACATTCCTATTATGCCGTGATGTTAGTGTCTCTTATTTTCAATCTTGATCAAGATAAGAAGTATCAACAGATGTGTCACATGTGTGATGGATTGTGGCATGTATTCCCACTAATGGAGAAAGCTTCTAATTTTGGAGAAAGCAGCAGGCTCTGCAGTCAGAGCGTATTACTTCTTTAGCCCATGAGACATTTAGACTGATCTGAAGAGGAATTCTTGACAGTGAGGAAAGTGGTGAAATCTTTTCTGAGGGAGCTCTAGGCAAAGGAATGATCCCATCTCTTTGGGATAATGTTGTCATGGTCCCAGATAAAAATGGACCACAATGAAGACTTGTCAAATTCTTATCCAGCTCAAGTCTTTACTGTTTCCCAGGACCTGAGGCTCACAAGCAGTCTGTGATTTACGCAGTTTTATGATACTGTTCTCAACTTGCAAAGGTTTTGAGATGCCTCCAGAATGATGAAAACCAGGCACTTATCTGGGAAGCAGAGCAGCTCACATTATTTTGAGCCCTGGGCTTACGACCCAGAGTGTTGACAGCTTCACTTCAGACCACAGTAAGGACTTAACTTCAAGATCCTTCAAAACAGCTCAGTCCCACAGACAGCCTTTTTCCAGGTTCCCTCTCTGAACAGATTGACATGGTGCAGGTATTATGGAAACAGCAAGCTGAGCTTTCTATATTTGAGATTCAGAGTATGAAGAGCTCTGTTTTAATTCAAAATAAGGTTATCAAATAGATGTCGATATTGCCATTTAGGCAGCAGACTAAATTTCTGCAAAGGAACCAACCTAAAGAAACCATAACGTTCCTATCTAAGTTCATCCTAGATATTCCAAAAAGTGTCTGGGCTATCTTAATTTAAACACCAACCCCCCCCAATAAAAAAGCAATGATGGATATAAAGCAACTGCTCACACCAGAACCATACTGAGGTTGTAGAGAGTTGTGGGAGGGCCACAAAGTAAACTAAACAGCAAACAAGTTTAAAATCTACATATTAATCCCTCTGGTCAAGCTGGAACTTCCACCACCTGGTTTTCTTTTCGCCCTTTCTTTGTTCCTTCCCCTCCCCCATTGCCTCAGGATATCTGAAATTTTCTCCTCAATTAGGCAGAGTAATTTAGCTCTCTCTCCTCCCATTTTCAAACTAGCATCTTATCTTTATAAATGCTCCCCAGAAGAAAGAATAATCCTATTAAAAGGACTGTAATTATAATAGCAAAAGTAAGTTGCTATTATATTTAATACAGCAGTTTTTTCACTACAGAATAGTTTGTTACACACTTATTACTTGACCTTTGTTAGTGGGGAGGTCTGAAAGACTGCGCCAGTTCCCACCTGTGACCCTTGCTGGTTTTCCCTCTGTCTTTACATTGGCCATCCCTATCTCTTTACAGAGCCAACACACAGTGGGGTTTCCTCTTGCTGTTTCCTTTCTCAGTTGGCAGCAGAGACGGTGGCCTCTGTCCATGTTTTCTGATGCTCTCATCTCATCTATGACCTATAAATTTCAGATCCACACATTTATTCATCATGAACAGTCATCTGATTCTCATTCCTGCTTTCCCCCGGACAAATGATGGATAGAAACTATACTCAGTCCCCACCACATCTGGCTGGCTCTTAGATTCTGAACCAATTCTTGGCCAACCTGAAGGTCTTTTATAAATCTCAGCCTGACAGCCACACATTTAGGCCTATCCACAAGGGAAAATATCATTTTCAGAGAGCAAGGCAGGCAGAACATGAGGTGTAATGTTGACACAAATGGGACTTAGGGTATTTAATGTTTAAGACTCACGTTTTAGTATGGATGCTGTATAGATCTGTAATTTGGACTTGTTTATAGCTATAGAAATGCCAGGCAGCTGTAGACTTAACCTTTTGCTATTTCTTGGACATTTCATGACTTATATGCATCTATTGAACTTTTTTGGCATCCCCAGGAGAAAGTTAAATCATATTCCCTATTAAAGTTTCTGATTTATTCATGGATTTAAATGTTCCATAGCCCTCATTTTTCATTTCCTCACCTTAAAGAAAAGAGATTATTGGGTTAATGTTGACAGAAGACCATAACTTTTCCTTTGAAAGCTCATAATATTGTCACAAGGCAACATGGCCCTTCCTGGTTTTGATCATGAGTGTGAGTTAGCATTCTATATATTGTATAGATCCGAGCATCTTTTTATATTCATGAGAACTCTTACTTGACTGCAAATTACGAGTGCAACAGAGCATCACCTTACTTCCTTCAGAATTTCTCATTTGAGCAGACTTCATGAAACTGTGTTTCATGACGGTAGGGACTATGGAGTCCTCAGTTCTTAGCACAATGCCTGGCACACAGAAGGAATTCAATACATATTTGTATATATTTGTTCAATTGAATGAGGATGAAAGACACAAATATTTGGGAGTTCAATTGTGCTGAAAGACACTTCCACAGCAGTATATTCCATAAGATGTATTTAAAGTTTATTTTTGATTTCTATAGTTAGCTGATTTTCTACTTTCATTCCATCTCTGGCATTGATTTTCATACTGAGTTAAGTTGCTTTGCAAGTGAGAGGGCAAATGTTGTCTTAGATGTAAATCTTTCCCCTTGAGGATAACTTGACAGGGAAACTAGAGGCTGAAAGGGGTCTGTTGTTTGTTTTTACTTTGTGTGCAAATGTTCTCCTTACAAAATGGGCTGGGTTATTTCATTCTCTAATAAAAGTCCCCTCCCCTTTATTTTAAATAACAGAGATGGAGTTGGGATCTACATATTCCAGGCTGGTGTGAACTCCTGGCCTCAGGCAATCCTCCTGCCTTGGCCTCCCAAAGTGGTGAGATTATAGGCATGAGCAAGTGAACCTGGTCCCCATATTTGGTTTTAAAAGTGAGAAATATATGAAATCACAATATTCTATTTTATAATTTGTGCCTATTAATTTAAATAACAAAAAATATTTATTTTTACGTATGTATATATGTGTATATACACATATTGTATATAAGTACATATATACATTGTGTATATATATATATTTTTCTTCCTGAGAGACCACCCCAAGATCTGATATTACTATCACATGATATTCTATGACAACACTAAAATAATGAGATGAATATTTGCAATTAGTATTTGACAGCTGTTAATTAAATTGCTTTAACAGATTTATAGGGAAAACATCAGTTACATAACTGAATTACAAATAACTATGTCTATTATATAAATGACAAAATGTCATGATTACTAGTCACTGCTTATTATTTTAAGATGAGGATTACTAATTTATCTGAGAGGTCTGATATTTTAAAACAAAAGCCCAAACGGGAAACCTGACAGTTTTTCATGATTATGGTTCTTCTTTTCTTTTCCTTCTCTCCTTTTCCCTTCTTCTCAGTCTTCCTTTTTTGTTCTACTTAAAAAGTTTTGCCTGTCTGGATTGCATTTTCTGCAAGTTCAAATGGTTCCATGTTCATTCAATTCTTTTTTTTTTTTAATATGTATACATTTTTATTATACTTTAAGTTCTAGGGTACATGTGCACAACGTGCAGGTTTGTTACATATGTATACATGTGCCATGTTGATGTGCTGCATCCATTAACTCATAATTTACATTCGGTATATCTCCTAATGCTATCCCTCCCCCCTCCTCCCACCCCATGACATGCCCTGGTGTGCGATGTTCTCCTTCCTGTGTCCAAGTGTTCTCATTGTTCAATTCCCACCTATGAGTGAGAACATGCGGTGTTTGGTTTTTTGTCCTTGCGATAGTTTGCTGAGAATGACGGTTTCCAGCTTCATCCATGTCCCTACAAAGGACATGAACTCATCCTTTTTTATGGCTGCATAGTATTCCATGGTGTATATGTGCCACATTTTCTTAATCCAGTCTATCATTGTTGGACATTCGGGTTGGTTCCAAGTCTTTGCTATTGTGAGTAGTGCTGCAATAAATGTATGTGTGCATGTGTCTTTATAGCAGCATGATTTATATTCCTTTGGGTATACACCCAGTAATGGGTTGGCTGGGTCAAATGGTATTTCTAGTTCTAGATCCCTGAGGAATCGCCGCACTGTATTCCACAAGGGTTGAACTAGTTTACAGTCCCACCAACAGTGTAAAAGTGTTCCTATTTCTCCACATCCTCTCCAGCACCTGTTGTTTCCTGACATTTTAATGATCACTATTCTAACTGGTGTGAGATGATATCTCATTGTGGTTTTGTTTTGCATTTCTCTGATGGCCAGTGATAAGGAGCATTTTTTCATGTGTCTGCTGGCTGCACAAATGTCTTCTTTTGAGAAGTGTCTGTTCATATCCTTCGCCCACTTGTTGGTGGGGTTGTTTTTTTTCTTGTAAATTTGTTTGAGTTCTTTCTAGATTCAGGATATTAGTCCTTTGTCAGATGAGTAGATTGCAAAAATTTTTTCCCATTCTGTAGGTTGCCCATTCACTCTGATGGTAGTTTCTTTTGCTGTGCAGAAGCTCTTTAGTTTAATTAGATCCCATTTGTCAATTTTGGCTTTTGTTGCCATTGCTTTTGGTGCTTTAGACATGAAGTCCTTGCCCATCCCTATGTCCTAAATGGTAATGCCTATGTTTTCTTCTATGGTTTTTATGGTTTTAGGTCTAACATTTAAGTCTTTAATCCATCTTGAATTAATTTTTGTGTACGGTGTAAGGAAGGGATCCAGTTTCAGCTTCCTACATATGGCTAGCCAGTTTTCCCAGCACCATTTGTTAAATAGGGAATCCTTTCCCCATTTCTTGTCTTTGTCAGGTTTGTCAAAAATCAGATAGTTGTAGATGTGTGGTATTATTTCTGAGGGCTCTGTTCTGTTCCATTGGTCTATATCGCTGTTTTGGTACCAGTACCATGCTGTTTTGGTTACTGTAGCCTTGTAGTATAGTTTGAAGTCAGGTAGCGTGATGCCTCCAGCTTTGTTAGCAGGCTCTTTTTTGGTTCCATATGAACTTTAAAGTAGTTTTTTCCAATTCTGTGAAGAAAGTCATTGGTAGCTTGATGGGGATGGCATTGAATCTATAAATTACCTTGGGCAGTATGGCCATTTTCATGATATTGATTCTTCCTATCCATAAGCATGGAATGTTCTTCCATTTGTTTGTGTCCTCTTTTATTTTGTTGAGTAGTGGTTTGTAGTTCTCCTTGAAGAGGTCCTTCACATCCCTTGTAAGTTGGCTTCCTAGTATTTTATTGTCTTTGAAGCAATTGTGAATGGGATTTCACTCATGATTTGGCTCTCTGTCTGTTATTGGTGTATAAGAATGCTTGTGATTTTTGTACATTGATTTTGTATCCTGAGACTTTGCTGAAGTTGCTTATCAGCTTAAGGAGATTTTGTGGTGAGATGATGGGGTTTTCTAGATATACAGTCATGTCATCTGCAAACAGGGACAATTTGACTTCCTCTTTTCCTAATTGAATACCCTTTATTTCTTTCTCCTGCCTGATTGCCCTGGCCAGAACTTCCAACACTATGTTGAATAGGAGTGGTGAGAGAGGGCATCCCTGTCTTGTGCCAGTTTTCAAAGGGAATGCTTCCAGTTTTTGCCCATTCAGGATGATATTGGTTGTGGGTTTGTCATAAATAGCTCTTATTATTTTGAGATACATCCCATCAATACATAATTTATTGAGAGTTTTTAGCATGAAGGGTTGTTGAATTTTGTCAAAGGCCTTTTCTGCATCTATTGAGATAATCCTGTGGCTTTTGTCTTTGGTTCTGTTTACATGCTGGATTACGTTTATTGATTTGCATATGTTGAACCAGCCTTGCATCCCAGTGATGAAGCTCACTTGATCATGGTAGATAAGCTTTTTGATGTGCTGCTGGATTTGGTTTGCCAGTATCTTATTGAGGATTTTTGCATCGATGTTCATCAGGGATATTGGCCTAAGGTTCTCTTTTTTTGTTGTGTCTCTGCCAGGCTTTGGTATCAGCATGATGCTGGCCTCATAAAATGAGTTAGGGAGGATTCCCTCTTTTTCTACCGATTGGAATAGTTTCAGAAGGAATGGTACCAGCTCCTCCTTGTACCTCTGGTGGAATTCGGTGGTGAATCTGTCTGGTCCTCGACTTTTTTTGGTTGGTAAGCTATTAATTATTGCCTCAATTTCAGAGCCTGTTATTGGTCTATTAAGAGATTCAACTTCTTCCTGGTTTAGTCTTAGGAAGGTGTATGTGTCCAGGAATTTATCCATTTCTTCTAGATTTTATAGTTTATTTGCGTAGAGGTGTTTATAGTATTCTGTGATGGTACTTGGTATTTCTGTGGGATCAGTGGGGATATCCCCTTTATCATTTTTTATTGCACCTATTTGATTCTTCTCTGTTTTCTTCTTTTTTAGTCTTGGTAGCGGTCTATCAATTTTGCTGATCTTTTCAAAAAACCAGCTCCTGGATTCATTGATTTTTTGAAGGGTTTTAATAACTCTATCTCCTTAGTTATTTAGCTTAGCTAGCTCTGATCTTAGTTATTTCCTGCCTTCTGCTAGCTTTTGAATGTGTTTGCTCTTGCTTCTCTAGTTCTTTTAATTGTGATGTTAGGGTGTCAATTTTAGATCTTTCCTGCTTTCTCTTGTGGGCATTTAGTGCTATAAATTTCCCTCTACACACTGCTGTAAATGTGTCCCAGAGATTCTGGTATGTTGTGTCTTTGTTCTCGTTGGTTTCAAAGAACATCTTTATTTCTGCCTTCATTTCATTATGTAGCCAGTAGTCATTCAGGAGCAGCTTGTTCAGTTTCCATGTAGTTGAGCAGTTTTGAGTGAGTTTCTTAATCCTGAGTTCTTGTTTGATTGCACTGTCGTCTCAGAGACAGTTTGTTATAATTTCTGTTCTTTTACATTTGCTGAGGAGTGCTTTACTTCCAACTATGTGGTCAATTTTGGAATAGGTGCAGTGTGGTGCTGAGAAGAATGTATATTCTGTTGATTTGAGGTGGAGAGTTCTGTAGATGTCTATTAGGTCTGCTGGGTGCAGATCTGAATTCAATTCCTGGATATCCTTGTTAAGTTTCTGTCTCGTTGATCTATCTGATGTTGACAATGAGGTGTTAAATCTCCCATTATTATTGTATGGGAGTCTAAGTCTCTTTGTAGGTCTCTAAGGACTTGCTTTATGAATCTGGGTGCTCCTGTATTGGGTGCATATATATTTAGGATAGTTAGCTCTTCTTGTTGAATTGATCCCTTTACCATTATGTAATGGTCTTCTTTGTCTCTTTTGATCTTTGTTGGTTTAAAGTCTGTTTTATCAGAGACTAGGATTGCAACCCCTGCCTTTGTTTTCCATTTGCTTGGTATGCTTGGTAGATCTTCCTCCATCCCTTTATTTTGAGCCTATGTGTGTCTCTGCAAGTGAGATGGGTTTCCTGAATACAGCACACTGATGGGTCTTGACTCTTTATCCAATTTGCCAGTCTCTGTCTTTTGATTGGAGCATTTAGCCTGTTTACATGTAAAGTTAATATTGTTATGTATGAATTTGATCCTGTCATTATGATGTTAGCTGGTTATTTTGCTCGTTAGTTGATGCGGTTTCTTCCTAGCATCAATGGTCTTTACAATTTGGCATGTTTTTGCAGTGGCTGGTACCAGTTGTTCCTTTCCATGTTTAGTGCTTCCTTCAGGAGCTCTTGTAGGGCAGGCCTGGTGGTGACAAAAATCTCTCAGCATTTGCTTGTCTGTAAAGGATTTTAATTCTCTTTCACTTATGAAGCTTAGTTTGGCTGGATATGAAATTCTGGGTTGAAAATTCTTTCCTTTAAGAATGTTGAATATTGGCCCCCCCTCTCTTCTGGCTTGTAATTTCTGCCGAGAGATCAGCTGTTAGTCTGATGGGCTTCCCCTTGAGGGTAACCGGACCTTTCTCTCTGGCTGCCCTTAACATTTTTTCCTTCATTTCAACTTTGGTGAATCTGACAATTATGTGTCTTGGAGTTGCTCTTCTCGACAATTATCTTTGTGGCGTTCTCTCTATTTCCTGAATTTGAATGTTGGCCTGCTTTGCTAGGTTCAGGAAATTCTCTGGATAACATCCTGCAGAGTGTTTTCCAAGTTGGTTCCATTCTCCCCTTCACTTTCGGGTACACCAATCAGACGTAGATTTGGTCTTTTCACATAGTCCTATATTTCTTGGAGGCTTTGTTTGTTTCTATTTATTCTTTTTTCTCTAAACTTCTCTTCTCGCTTCATTTCATTCATCTGATCATCCATCATTGATACCCTTTCTTCCAGTTGATTGAATCGGCTACTGAAGCTTGTGCATTCGTCACGTAGTTCTTGTGCCATGGTTTTCAGCTCCATCAGGTCCTTTAAGGACTTCTCTGCATTGGTTATTCTAGTTAGCCATTTGTCTAATCTTTTTTCAAGGTTTTTAACTTCTTCGCCATGGGTTAGAACTTCCTCCTTTAGCTTGGAGAAGTTTGATCATCTGAAGCCTTCTTCTCTCAACTTGTCAAAGTCATTCTCTGTCCTGTTTTGTTCCGTTGCTGGTGAGGAGCTGCATTCCTTTGGAGGAGGAGAGGCGCTCTGATTTTTAGAATTTTCAGTTTTTCTGTTCTGTTTTTTCCCCATCTTTGCAGTTTTATCTACCTTTGGTCTTTGATGATGCTGACGTACAGATGGGGTTTTGGTGTGGATGTCCTTTCTGTTTGTTAGTTTTCCTTCTAACAGTCAGGACCCTCAGCTGCAGGTCTGTTGGAGTTTTCTGGAGATCCACTCCAGACCGTTTGCCTGGGTATCAGCAGTGGAGGCTGCAGAACAGGGAATATTGCTGAACAGCAAATGTTGCTGTCTGATTGTTCCTGTGGAGGTTTCGTCTCAGCAGGATACCTGGCCGTGTGACGTGTCAGTCTGCCCCTACTGAGGGGTGCCTCCGAGATAGGCTACTCGGGGGTCAGGGGCCCACTTGAGGAGGCAGTCTGTCCGTTCTCAGATCTCAAACTCCATTCTGGGAGAACCACTACTCTCTTCAAAGCTGTCAGGCAGGGACATTTAAGTCTGCAGAGGTTTCTGCTGCCTTTTGTTTGGCTATGCCCTGCCCCCAGAGGTGGGGTCTACAGAGGCAGGCAGGCCTCCTTGAGCTGCGGTGGGCTCCACCCAGTTCGAGCTTCCAGATCGCTTTGTTTACCTACTCGAACTTCAGCAATGGTGGGCACCCCTCCCCCAGCCTCGCTGCTGCCTTGCAGTTCGATCTCAGACTGCTGTGCTGGCAACGAGAGATGAGCAAGGCTCCGTGGGCATGGGACCCTCTGATCCTTGCGCGGGATATAATCTCCTGGTGTGCCGTTTGCTAAGACCATTGGAAAAGAGCAGTATTAGGGTGGGAGTGACTGATTTTCCAAGTGCTGTCTGTCGCAGCTTTGCTTGGCTATGAAAGGGAATTCCCTACCCCTTGCGCTTCCCACGTGAGGCGATGCCTCTCCCTGCTTTGGCTCATGCTCGGTGTCCTGCACCCACCATTCTGCACCCACTGTCCAACAAGCCCCAGTGAGATGAACCCGGTACCTCAGTTGGAAATGCAGAAATCACCTGTCTTCTGCGTTACTCATGCCGGGAGCTGTAGACTGGAGCTGTTCCTATTCAGCCGTCTTGGAACTGCCCCCCGATTCAATTCTTAAGTGGACAATTTTGTGTTATAAAGTTCACGGCTATTTGTTTAATTGGAATAATCATGAACTCTTTTAAGTGTCACAAGGTGACAGGATTTAAAGCCTCAGGCCCATCCCAGTTATTTATAACATCTCATATTATGTCCTTCTTTTTATAAAGAGTTGACGTAATAAATAGCCATATGGAATAACACTTCTGCATATTTTGCAAAACAGCCATTGAAGGTATTATATATTATATTAGTGTTTGTTACTCAAAGATTCTAACAATAAAATTCTTGTGAGGATAAATTCTATGAATACATTCTAAGTTTGTTCATTTGCTTTTCTTCTTTTAAGATGAGTTGGATTATTTTCTTTGATAAGATATTGAAAACTATGTCATTATGGCTATTGGCCATCACATCTCTAGAATTCAGATAGATTGTCTTAATCTCCTCAGATTGCTGACTATTGGCTATTGGCCATCACATCTCTAGAATTCAGATAGATTGTCTTAATCTCCTCAGATTGCTGCCTATTGGCTATTTTATTGATCATTAACACTCCTCAGATGGTGACAAGGAAAGAATGCTAAATTTCTGATCATTTTCAGGGTTGCTTACTCATTTTATTTATTTAAGTTGCCCTAACTCCTATCTGTATTGGTAACAGAGGCTGCATTCACCTAAGTTAGACTTTTATATTTATGCCCTTTGCTTCAGAGACTATAATATCCAAATTGAAGACTGGAACTGTTAATTATAATAATACGTACCATAAATACTTACTTTCTAAATGCCACACAAAGTCTTCATATGTTCGAATCATTTAATTCTCAGTAACCCTTTGGTATTGGTATGGTATTATTTTACTTATCTTATTGAGGAGGCAACAGATAGTTTAATTTACCCAAAGTTACACAGCTAGTAAATGGTGGAACTGAGTTGAGTCTGGACTCCTGGACAGTCTAACTTCAAATTTAAGATCCTGGGATGGACCTCAGAGATCTTCTTGAGAGGTAAATGTATCTCACTTGTGGCACTATTCCTTATGTTCTCTACATGACAGATATTGCTGATTGTTGGAAGATCTTTTTCTACTGAGTCTATACCCAGCCTGGGAATCATTCTTAGTTGTTGTTCTAGGTGGCAACTACTTATTGAATGATTCTCACTTGTGTTGAAACCTATTTATCATTCACACAGGTATAATCTGTTCCTTTTACAGAACAATTTATACTAAATGTTTTAGTAGAAACTGGCTAGATGTTCACCAAATCCACTTTTTCTTCTTCCTACATATATAGGTAGACTACATTTCCAGCTTTCCTTCCAAATAAGTGTGGTCACATAACTGTGTCCTAACCAACAGAATGTGAGCACACTTGAGGTGCACCATTTCTAGGCCTACCCCTAAAAACTCCTCTGGCTCTCCTCCATCCTCTTTCCATCCACAGATTGATGCCTATGAGCACACTGACTCTGGTAGTTACCTGATGAAGTTGGCAGAGTCAAAAAATGGATGGAGCCTGGGTTCCTAAATAAAGCTTTGAAGAAAGCTACCTATCAATCACAAACACCTGTTTGGGCTTTAGGTGAGCAAGAAATAAACCTCAGTCATGTTCAGGCCATTAAAGTTTTTGGGTATGTTTACTAAAAACACTAGCGTTACAAATACAAGACCTATACAAAAGTACAACAGTAGCATTTTTCAGAACCAGAATCTGAATGTAGGTCTTGTGAGTCCAAATACTTCCCACTACGCCAATCTTACTAATTTTAAAAACTACCCAAGTTAATATGATAAACACCTTATTTTAACATAAATTTTCTCAAATTTTAACTCCATGAAGATTTGAGTTTATTGGCAACAAGGGTTCTTTCATTTCTAAAAAAAATCTCAAGTATTTCCCAATTGATGCCTTCAGGAACGAACCTCCCACTCCAATTATCTGGCCTACAATTCCTGCCCAGGTGTGAAGCATGAAAGGTGACATCAAGTCAGGGTTTCTCAAATATATACTTGGGAACCATTTCTGTGGGATGTTAGTAGGTTTGGTGCTGAAATACAATATCCCATGATAAAGTACATTTAGGAAATTCTAGATTAAAAGAAGTAAAAAGGTGTCTTTTCTGTAGGAATATCCTTTAAAAAGATAATATGTCCTGATATTCTCCAAAATAAATGTCTGTAGTATTTTGCAAATTTATTTGATGACAGAGCCCTTTTTCAAAGAGCAACTCAAGGAAATAGTGTTCCACTGAACACATTTTGGGAAACACAAACAAGGATATTGGGGCATATTCATAACTATTGTTACTTGAAGTCGGTCTAGTACATCTTGGAATCTACTCCCTCTGCCTAAGGAAATTTTGGTTCTGGCTGTGGCTTTCTACATCTACTGTACTACCTATTCCTGACTTCTAACAAATTATTATGCCTTGATCTTTGGGCTACTTCTATATCCTCTAGCTCTCTTCAAGACTTAACAACTGACTGTATTTTGTGGTCTCAACCATGCCAGACTTTGTTTATCTTGTTGCTTCTCTACCTTGACAGAACACAAATGTTTCATTGGTTGTGTATGTACATTGTAGTATTAATTATTGATTCAATCAAACACCCCACATAAAGCAAGGGTGTGGGGTAGTGTTACTGGCATAAAGAAACATCTCCTGGCCGGGTACAGTGGCTCATGCCTGTAATCCCAGCACTTTGGGAGGCCAAGGCAGTTGGATCATTTGAGGTCAGGGGTTCAAGACCAGACTGGCCAACTTGGTGAAGCCCCGTCTCTACTACAAGTACAAAAATAATTAGCTGGGCATGGAGGCGGGCACCTGTACTCCCAGCTACTTGGGAGCCTGAGGCAGGAGAATCGCTTAAGCTCAGGAGGCAGAGGTTGCAGTGAGCAGAGATCTTGCCACTACACTACAGCCTGGGCCACAGAGCGAAACTACATTAAAAAAAAAAAACAAAAAAACTCTTACTGTCCTAGTTAAATATCAATATCAATAAAATAGAGTGAAGTTACATTACATGGGCATTTGTAGTATGCGAATTCAACTAGACCCATTTAGTACCCTGGCCCCCAGATAGTGAGAAAAAAATAGTTTAAATGCAAAGCAGTTAGATTTTACGTTATGAAATGCCATTACTGGCATTCTGTCTCACTTAATTTAAAACTCGCATAATTGAAGATTAATTTCCCATACAGTTGTCAAAGAAAAGCAGGTATTTCTTTGCTTGCTGAAGTGGCACCACCATGGGCTTTAGCAAAAACATGGTTTCCAATTCATGTAGCCACTCCTTTCAATATTGTATGATTGCTGATATAAAAAATTTTTAAAATTCTATTATTTCAAATGCTTCCAATCATGAGATAATTTATTAATATTTTATGTTGTACTCTTTCAAATTTGCATAATTTTATAAATTATTACTGCACTGTACTGTGGGTGCTTTTACCCACCATCCCACTCCATTTTTATAGCAGATGTATAGTCCGTTAGGAGATATGACTCTGCTATTTCTTTCCTTCCTGTGTGCCTTTCATAGTAGAAAATATCACTGGGTCCTATAAATCCAAATCAACTTTTAATCTGGCTTCACCAAAGAAACAGAAATCTATTGAATGTTGGGAAAATAGTTGTACTGAATTTACTGAAAGATGTTACATCATTCTCTAAAATGTCATGTGGTTTTAAGAAACTTTGAAGGTAATTTTGAATGTACATGACTCTTTTTATGTGACAACTTTAGAACTTTACCTCCCATATAAGATGTGACTCTACTTGAAGATAATGGACATTATTGATTGCTAATCCAGCATTTAGTACTTCCTTCCTTCTTCCTAACAAAACTCTATTTTATTCAGGTAGCACTCCTCATAACTAAAGGAAAGATGACCCTAGTACCAGTTCCAGGAGTAGAACTGGACTTGTATAGGCTTATCACATTGCTTCCACCCTCTTTGCTAGCACCTGGTTTTGGAGTACTCAAGTAATCCAATTCTGGCCTGTGGCACATGAGGAGAAGTCTATTAAAGGGCTTCTGTAAAGATTTCCTTGATTAGTATTATTATTTATTGTTATTATTTTTTGAGATGGAGTCTTGCACTGTCACCCAGGCTGGTGTGCAGTGGCACGATCTTTGCTCACTGCAACCTCTGCCTCCTGGGTTCAAGAGTGATTCTCCTGCCTCAGCCTCCCGAGTAGCTGGAATTACAGGCGCTTGTCACCATGCCCAGCTAGTTTTTTGTATTTTTAGTAGAGATAGGGTTTCATTACATTGGCCAGTCTGGTCTTGAACTCCTGACCTCTTGATCCACCCACCTTGGCCTCCCAAGATTTCCTTGATTCTTAGAAAGGAACAGAGCCAGTGATAGTTCATTTCATTCCTAAGCATGTTGTTAAGTTCAGTGTGACTCCAACAGCTATTGCCATCTTGCTGCCAGTCCTCTGAGGATGTCAGTATTGGGAGTGGAAGAGAGCAGAGAAAGATAAAACCTAGGTCTTTGAAGAGATTGCTCAGTTCCTGAATCAATGAACCCTGAAGTCTCTCCAATCTTCTCCTTAGATAATGTATTAGTCAACTCAGGCTACCATAACAAAATACCATAGACTGGGTGACTTAAACAACAGAAATTTCTCACAGTTCTGGAGGCTGAGAAGTCCAAGATCAAGGTGCTGGTAGATTTGGCTTAGCTGGGGCTATCTTCCTGGCTTGCAGACAGCTGCCTTCTTACTATGTCCTCACATGGTGTGTGCAAGCCGGGATAGAAAGAGAGAGCTTTCTCTTTTGCTCTTCTTTTAAGGTCATCAACCCCACAGGGTTAGGGCGCTACCTTTAGGACCTCATTTAATCTTAATTACCTCCTAAAAGTCCTATCTCTAAATACAACCATATTGGGATTAGGGCTTCAACCTATGTCTGTGGAGGAGACACAATTCAGTCCATAGCAGATAATATAACAAATGTCTTTATGCTATTAAACAAGTTTAAATTTTTTTTTCTGTTATAGACAACTTAATACACCCTGACAGATATCATATCTTATGATGAAATATACACAGGATAATGTCTAATTCATGGCATATAACATGAAAAGATCAAGGGTTAGTCTCCTTTTCTCAGAACAAAGCAGTTGTAGAGTTAAAAATAGTCCATTGAAGTTCTAAGGCATTTTATGAACTGCTGATTGTACATATATGTGGTATCATGTTAACATAAACAGTCCAGCCCTAAGGGAGTTTTAAGTTATAAAAGAAACATTTTTCTAAGATCATGAGCTCTGATATAAAAACCATACTCCAGCCCAGTTCTATCATTATGAAGGTCTGGCGAGCCAAGAGACATTAGTTGGTGATTTTATCAAGCCAGACTTCTAACTAATGGCTTGGTGAAGCCATTACTGTCCCATAAAACACTGTAACAGATTGACAGGACAATTCAAGAGTTTTAGTCATTTTACATCCTTAACGGTTATTCCACAAAAAGCAGCATTCTCAGGGATCACTGCAGTCCTACAAATGAGAATACACTTTCTTCACCTTTTTGCCTAAAAGGAATCAGTTATGTTTTTCTTACAATTCAAATCTAATTTTTATAACTATCTTCAACAAAAAGGGTGGAGTGTAGATTCACCACATTCTAGTGAAGCTCTCATAAAACATTTTACCCGTTACATTGTTTATAAAGTAAATTTACCATTTTTCCCCAGATAAAATGTAAATAAACAATAAAATTATATTGAAATGAAGGATTTTCATAACATAGTAAAATTCTCCTTTAATTTCTAGCCGAGGGAGTGGAAGAGCAGCACTTATCAAATTAAAAAAAAATACCCAAACCAAACAAACAAAAACAAACTTCACCAAGAAACAAATGAGAGATACATGTGCATATAGATGCATCCATATTAAAGCAATAGAACTTGGGCCATTTTGAAATCTTAAACCTTCTGACACTATTTTCATGAACTCAGTAATATAAACCATGTGGTGAATGAAATTCTGAAAAACTTTGCTGGTTTCACTGTGTATTTTATTACTGGCCAAATGTGACATTAAATTTTATCCCCTGTGGCTTGGAGTTAAATGCTTGCTCTGTTCAGAATGGCAACACTCAATTAAACAGCATTTTTCATGATCTACACCCACCATTGTTGCTGTATTTAAGGGAAATAATAGGGGTACTGACCTATATTGCGCTTCTTATTATCAATGGAGACGAAGCGTATGCAGGGATTACTGGTGATGTACTGCCCAGCCCAAGGGACATCAATCTTCGTACCAGCTTCATAAAAGAGGCCCAGAGCATATCGAGAGGAGTAGCTCACAGCCTCCAGTTGCTGCCTTTGGCATTCACTAATTACTGTGGAAGAAAAAATAAAAGGCATCAAACTTAAAAATACCATCTTTCCTTTTAGCACATCAAATATAAAATTCCTTTAAACCAGTTACAACAGCTTCCACCAACTCCATCTCACTTACAATGAATTTTGAAAGGTAATGTAAAATAGCACCAGCTCTAATTTCTTTTTGGAATAATTATTAACTTTGGCAAATTGTTTTTATCAAGCTGAAGGTCCACATTCTTTGGAATGGCGTTCAAGGTTCTCAAAATCTGGCTCCAAATTGCTTTTCTAGTCTGGTATCCCAGTCCTTGGACTGTCTGGCCACATTATAGATTCCATACACTGACCCCTTACTACAAGTTAGGGTATTTGCTATATACTTGACATAAGCATTTCACTCTATCATAACAACAGTTTTGAAAGGTAGAGTATTATTTCCAAGTTACAGATGAGGAGGCTGATGCTCCATCTGTTATGACCTCTTAAATTATTCCATGGATACAAGGGGGGAATAACACACACTGGGGTCTGTTGGGGATGGGGGCATTGGGGAGGGACAGCATCAGGATGAAGAGCTAATGGATGCTGGGCTTAATACCTAGGGGATGGGATGATCTGTGCAGCAAACCACCATGGCACATGATTACCTATGTAACAAACCTGAGCATCCTGCACATGTACACCTGAACTTAAAAGTTGCAGAACACAAACAAAAACTGCTACACACACACACATACACACATGCACACAAATTCTTCCATGTCATAGAGTGATTTGTTTGCCTGTCATTTTTCTGCCAGTGGATTATGGGCAGAAAGATGCCAATAATTAAGTCCCTCTACTTAAGCAGAGGGACCACACCTTAGTCATCTTTGTTTATAGGTCCCTACCCTACTCATTACAAGCACACCAAAGATGAAACTTTAAAGGGATAGAAAGGCAAACACAGACATGCAAAGAAATAATGTCTGTGTCAACTTCTTCACAAAAGAAGTTGAAATGTAGGAGGTAAATAATAGGAAAAGCCTGGAAAAGGAATTGAGCAGGTTTAGGTTCAAATCCTGACTCTCCACTTACCAGATATGTGACACTGGTCAAACTACTTAATTGCTCTGATTATAGTTCTCTTGTCTATACTGGCAATAATAGTACAGAATGCATTAGTCTGTTGTGAGGATTATATGAAATAATGCATAGCACAGTGCTTGGCATATAATAAGTGTTCATTAAATAGTAACTTTTTCTACTATAGATAGAAAAAATATTTAGGAAAATGGGACAAGAAAAAATACTTAGGAAAATGGGACAGTGTTCCATCTTGAGGTGGGGAAAGAAGACATTTCTTCTACTTTTTACTTTCTATCTCCAATACCCCTACCTTTAAGGTCTCAGGGAGCTGCTTGTTTATGTATGTACAACATTAATAGTTTGGGTTTCAGAGAAGGTCATAGTTCTGTTCTGCCTTAGGAAGGCTCATTCAGACATGGAACATATGAGAAATTCTCATTTAATTGGGGTAAAATATCCTAATCTACAACAGTAGGGATAAGTGAACCTCAAGGATGAGGGGGAAACTTTAGTTAAATCTTACAGAAGTGGCTTTAGGAGGTAGAGAGAGGCAGGAAAGGGATTCAATAAATTATTATAGCACAGTAATAATCCTATACATTATTTCAGCTACAAAACATTTTTAGAACCATGACCTCATTTAGTCTTCACAAAAGCCATCCTCATTTTACATCCCCAGGAAGGTGAGATTCAGATTGGTTAACTAACCTGCTTTAGGTTACAAAGCTTCCAGATTGCGTGGTCAGGATGAAGGTAGAGCTCCCATATTAGAGTTACACATATATTCTTACTACCCTATACTTTCCTCTGCTCATCTGCAAGTCTGAGTTTCAGAATAAACTTTGACATTGCTTTCTCCTGTGACATTAATGGCTATTTTGTATTCATAAATAAAAGCCATATTTCCCTTTAACTATAATTTTCTGCCTTATTAAAAGCTGTAACTACTTGATGAACGAATGATCTGACATTGGCCTCATTACACTCAATGAATTTGGAACTTCATTTTTTAATTTAATCTGCTTTTAAAGTTATGGCTTGATATTATAGTTACTGTTTTCTAAGAGGGAGGAGGTGAAACATTAATGCTAGCAGCTGAGCACATAATCACTGTTTCCCATTTTTTAAATAAAAAAACAAAACAAAACTGTGTAGTTAGCTACTTAGTAACTGAAAGGGCCTAAAACTTTTATTTTTTTTAACCAACACTGAAGGATCAATAGGTTGACAACCAAATTGGTCCTCTCCCCACCCCCCTTTTTGCTAGCTTTTAGACAAAGTGCCAAGTGGTAAATCCCACTAGGTAGCCCTTTGAAAAGGTAATTGATATCTATATAGAAACAGCAATTAACCTTACACACCCTTGTCTATTCCAGGGGCTCTACAATTCATTCCGAGAACAGGGAGGTGAGACTTCTGACTGAAACAATCTCAATTTCTGGACATTCACTGACAAAAACTTTGTCTTCAGAGGCTTAAAAGTTTTTTATTCTTGCAAGGCGGGCAAGATCTTAAAAAAAAGTCTTACTTTGTTTAAAAAAGTTTCTAGTGCAAAATACTAAAGAAACCAGCCCTAGGTCCCACATATTTTGGCAAGCAAAACAATATTCTTTCTTATCATGTTTTCAAATAGAACAAACGACCACAAATCAAGGCTTATATAAAAAGGCCCAATTCCAATATAATAAATCTTTACCTGGCTGTCATCCTCATTTAATTCTCAGCCAATAGGATTATATAACACACACACACACACACACACACACACACACACACACACGTACGTATATGTAGGATATGTTATATATTATATATAACATATCTTACACATACATAATATAAAATATATTTTATGACTATGAGTAAAATGGCTAAAAATTGTAGTGAACAGAGTAGTTCACATGCATACTTTCATTAATGAGGAAAATTGTTCTTATTTCATTCTCCTTGTGCCAGTGTCTTTGTGTGCATGAGTGGGTTTGTGGGAGGTGAAGAGCAGAGGGAGAAAAAGAGAGAGAAGAGGAGGGTGAGAGAGAGGAACAGAAGACCTGGCTGTACTCCTGAATAACACTGAGTAAGTAATTTCATTTTCTTTGTTTCCTCACATAATTTTATTCTCTTAGTTTCCAAACCTATAAAAGAAGGCTAATAATACATATTCTGCCCATTTTCTACATTTTTTGGTGACAATCAAATCAATCTATTCATCCATCCATCCATCCATTATGCCATGCACTTTTCTAGACGTGAAGGCTGTAAAGCAGAAAGATAAAGTCCCTGCTCTCCTGTAGCCTACATACTCGTGGCAGAAAGGCCATTATAAATAAATAATCAAGTAAATGGTATGTCAGTTGGTGATAAGAACTATAAGGAAAAATAAAGCAGGTAAAGGGATACATAACAGGTTTGAGTGAGGCTATTTTATATAGACTGTCAGGGATATGTGTTACCTCTGAGGATTTTACTTGGATTTACACGGGAAGCTACTACTCGTTATGAGCCAAGGACAGACATGGCATGCCTTCTGTCTTAAAATTCTCATTCTGGCTACTGGTGAAGATACAGGGGTGCAAGAGTGGAACTGGGGCAAGCAGCTATTGCAGAAGTCTTAGATTAGAGAGAACAGTAGAGGAAGCCAGAAGTGGCTACAGTTTGGATGAAATATATAGGTGTGTGTGTGTTTGTGTGTGTGTGTGAATATGTGTATATACTCTTAAATAAAAATTATGAGAGGCTATTGATTTGGGCTAAGATCTTGTACTAGGTCCCAATAGTCCAACCTAAACTGGAGTCACTCATGCTAATGTTCCTGATCACCAAACCAAAACCTAAGCTGTTTACTTGCAAGGTCTGACCTGAGAGATTAGGGGAGAAAGTAAGTTTTCTGAAAAAAAAAAAAAAAAAAAAAAAAAAAAGGAAATCCACAGCAACCAATTAAAAGGGCCCAGTCAACCTGAGCTGAGCGGGCATAATAACCAAGTCCCCTCTGCTTTAATCCATACAAGGAGAGTAACCTTTAGTAACCTGATGTTAACCAATTTACCTTTTGCACTAGATGTTTCCTTGTTCCCGCTCAAGTTGCCTTACAAGAACCAACTCACGGCCAGTGGAGCTCTCTATTAAACCAATTCACTGCCCATGACTTCATGGCCAGTGGAGCTCTTGTCTATTTTATAGACTGGATGCTGTCTGGTTCATGAATTGCTAATAAAAGTCAACTAACTCATTAAAACTTCATTTGTTGAAATGTTGTCATTTCACATACATGCACACAATATATGTACACATAAATATATAATATATATAATGTAAATTTTAATAGAGGTTTAACATACATAGAGAAAATTATGCCTTGATGAATTTTCATAAAGTGAACACATCTGTAAAACTGGCAGTCAGATCAAGAAACAGAGCATTACCAGAACCCCAGAAGCTACCTTCTGCTCCTTTTCCAGGCACTCTCTTCCTGCTGCAGGTAATCAGTAATCAATTCCAACATCATAGATTACTTTAGCTGTTTTTGAACTTTACATAAACAGAATGATATGGTATATATTTTTTGTGTCTGGCTTCTTTCACTCAATATTATGTTTGTTATATAAATGTTGTTAGATGTAGTTGTAGTTAATTAATTCTCATTGTGGGACAGTATTGCTTATACGTATACACTACAAGTTACTTATCCATTCCACTGTTGATGAACATAGGGATTGTTTGTAGATTTTGGTTATTACATATTTAATGTGAAGAACATATGTATGTGATTCTCTAGTACTGGAATTCCGGAATCATGGAGCGCACTTAATTCAGCTTTAGTAAATACTGCCAAATGGTTTTCTAAAGTGATTGTACCAGTTTGTACTTCCACCAGGTGTGTATGAAAGCTGAGTTGCTCCACATTGTTGCCAGAATTGGCTACTATCTGTCTTTTTAATCTGGGATGTAGAGATACTATTACATTGTCGTTTTAATTTGTATTCCATGGTGACTAATATTTGAAAATCCTTGCATGTTTGTCATTCATATATGCTTTTGTCACTGCCTGTTCAAATCTTTGCCCATTTTTCTTTTGGGCTGTCTTTTTCTTATTGTGATATAGGAGTTCTTTATATATTGTGGATATGAATCTTAAATATGAATTTACTTAAAACTTCCTTCCTAAGTGGCCTGCCTTTTAACCCTCTTAATAGTATGATTTGATGAATAGAGTTTTAATTTTAATATAGCCTAACTTATTTTTTTCATTTATAGTTAACACTTCTGTGTCCTGCTTAAGATGTTTTTGCCAATAGCCTACTTCAAGATCATAAAGATATTTTCTTATGGTTTTTTTTTTCCTGAAAACTTTATTAGTTTACATTTCATGAGATTTTGGATATATTTTAAAGTAATAGGCAGCCAGGATTCCTATTGGCTTTGAAAGGTGGTGTGAGGGAAAGAGACCAAATATATCGAATACTACTTCCCCTCATCCACCCTAATTTAATAAATGATAGCTTTATTATCCTATTATTTTGGAAATTACAATATAAAAATAAGACACTAGATTGTAAGCAACTTGAGGCAAAGACTGTGCTTCATGAGCTTTGTATGTCCAGGTCCCAGGACAGTGACTAGTGCAACAATGGCATTCAATAAATATTAATGAATATATCCTCATTTCAGAAAATTTGGCAAGTAGGCAAGGATATAAAGAGGGAAAATGTAAAAATATCACCATATTTTCATTATTCTGATAAGTAACATTTTGATATTTTTCCTTTAGTGTGTTATGTTTTTTCTCTAAACATGGTTGTGATCACATCGTACATATAATTTTGCGTACCGAATTTCTGCTTACCATAAGACCAAAAGCCCTCATTGTAAATATTTTAATGCCTCTATAATATTTGATGAAATGTATGTTGCATAATTTGGTTAATCGTTTCATTAATGTTGAACATTCGTTTCCTTTTTTCCTTTATAATTAACACTATTATGCACATCTTTGTGCAGATTTTTATCTATGTTTCTAATTATTTCCTTAAGATAGATATTGAAAGTGGAATTACTGTTAAATAGATTTTCAGAAACACTATACCAATTTATAGTTTCTATTAGTGGTATACAAAAGACCCATTTCACTGTATCCTTGCTTATATTAAGTAATTTTTGTTACTTGCTAGGAAGAATAGATCTCGCTTTGGTTCTAATATAGTAAGACTAAACATTCTTCATATGACTAAAAGCCCATATATATTTTCTCTTTTGCAAACAGTCTGTTCATGTCATTTTGCTAACTGGTCTATTAGATTCTTCATGTTATTAAATTGATTTCTATTAATGGGTGATATAGGCATTCTAAATTTATTGTATATTATAAAATTTTTCCTGTTTACTTTTTAGTATTGCATATATTATAATATTTACATGGATAATCAGTTTCTTTCCTCCCTCCCCATGACTCTTCTTTCTTTGAATAGACAAGAAGTCTATTTATGCTGGTTATTCTTGCTCTCCCATGTCCATTCCTTGCCCTTCTCTGCTTTGATCTGTGCCCAGGGAGACTGGCCCCTTTATGGGCTGAATTCCCTAGAGTTCTGGTTTCTGGAAGGTTTTGGTCAATTGGTGACATAGGCAGGGGATTCTCAGGTAGGAGACAGAGGCTGGGATATTGATTCCTCCTGTTCCTTCCTGCTTTGCCAGGTGTTGGCAATGGTGAGCTCCTTTACAGCTAAAGTTCCTTTCAGGTGGCTCTTTTCCCCTGGTTCCAACTCTCATGGGGCATTGATTGGTAACCTTTTCTTCCCTCACCCATTTAGGCCTAGGAGTAGTAACGGCTTCCTGCTGTTACTAGTTCCTAGGTGCCACAACATCCCTGGCTGGCTGCCTTAACCGTGCCCACTGTTTTGTAAATACCCCTTCCTTAAATTCTTTTTTTGGAGACAGAATCTCACTCTGTTGCCTAGGATGGAGTGCAGAGGTGCAATCTTTGCTCACTGCAACCTCCGCCTCCTGGGTTCAAGCTATTCTCCTGCCTCATCCTCCCAAGTAACTGGGATTACAGGCACATGCCACACACCTGGCTAATTTTGCGGGTGTGTATTTTTAGCAGAGACAGGATTTCACCATGTTGGCCAGGCTGGTTTTGAACTCCTGACCTCAAATGATCCACCCGCCTTGGCCTCCCAAAGTGTTGGGATTACAGGTGTGAGCCAGTGTGCCCAGCCCCTTAAATTCTTTACATAAAACTCTTTCACATATACCATCTATTTCTTGCTGGGACCCTGACTGAAACAATATTTAACTATATTTTCATCTAGCTTCTTCTAGGAAAGCACTCTGAAGCCAAGTTGAAACATTATACTCTCAGGCAGTAGTAGAGATCAACCTCTTAAAACCAAATCCATGGGCCCAGGAGTATGGTAAGAATATTTTGCAATTTATAAAGGTCTATTTTTTCATAAGTAAATAAGGTACTGCTTTCAGATGCATTTCTCTTCACATTATACTGACTTTGAGGGCATGATTATGAAGATTTTAATGTTAATAGTAAAATAAACACTTTTAAAAAGTGTATCAAGGTATTTATTACCAATATTATAGTTATTGTTAAATGCTGCTCACATTGATACTTGGTGCTCAAAGCCTTTAAGCTCCCACCAGAAGTTTTGTTGTTTACAGCTAATTAGAGAAGATCGCTAATTTCCTGATTTACCACCATATATAAAGCATTTTAGCTCAGGGACAGCTGAAGTTAGGAAGCCAATTTGTATTATAACTAAGTTCTGATCAAGGAAACAGCTCTTGATTTAGTTATTACCTTTATTTTTTATGGTGAATTCCAAGAACGTCAAGAAATGTTGTGCACGAATTCAACTCCTTAGATTAGATCATCTAGCTTTGTGCACTTTGTGGGTACACAAGGACAATAGTATCTTAGCCAGAATAGCTGGTTCCTCTTGACTCAAAGTGGCTGTAGAAATAGTGCTGAAAGTCCCATTTTCCATAAACAGTTCTCCTAGCAGACCAGGAGAGTTTGAAATTTTACCACTCATGAGTCACTCCTTTCCTATAAAAGCACGGAATCAGTCTTGTTTCACTTCACCTGGAATAAATTGAATGTTAACTTGGACTCTATAGGTATAGAAGTCATTAGGGCTAGAAGCACAGTTTTAGAAATAGTCTTGGCAAGCAATAAATCTAGAGTTTATTGGTGACAGACTTCAGCAGTTATATCTATGTGGGATTTCCCTGAGGAAATATTTCTTTCATCCTGAGAAGCATCTCTGGAGTCAGAAAAATTTGGGTTTGAATTCTGTTTCTGACATTTATCTGTGTGACATTGGACGAGCTACTTAATCCCTCTAAGCATCTGTTTTCCTGTAAAATAAGAGTAATAATACTGCCTGCCTTAAAGATTGTTAAAAAAAATTAAACAAGATAATAGTAAGTGTTTAACACAATACCTAGCACATAACAAGTGTATTGCAAAAATCCAACATGACCGTACTTGATTTTAAAAGCCTTCAGGGGTGTCTATGTGTATATCACACTTTAGAAACGTTTTAAAAAAGCCTTTAGAGGTGGCATCCTAATAGTCAAGCATATCAGGACGATACTAAATCAAAGACACGTCTTTGTCTAGTAAACTGCACGGCTACACTTCACTTTTCAGAGTAGAGAATAAAAACAAAACAAAACAAAACTTTACGGAGTATTAAGAATGTCAAAAGTATTTCGGGCAATAATTTTTGAAAAATTAACATACATTGTGGAATTCTTTGGTTATCTTTCTACTTTAGAAGGCTGAATGTTCAAAGATTTGTCTTTGGAAATTAATGAAAACCAAATTTTGGATCATTACTCTAGCATTATATTTCTTAATCCTATCTCACAATCGTATAAAAATAAAGGGCACCAAAGAAGTGGCTTTCTCTGTATTGCCTTCTGCTCACTAGAGATTATTTTCTGGTAAACATTTAGGATTAAGCTGTTTTTACACTCGTGTTTATGGAGAATGCTAATCATTACCTGAATACAAATCATGACTTGAATACACCGTCTAACAGGTAAATTCCGCCTAGTTATGCATAGCTGGCTTTTTTTGGAAGTTGTCAGAAGGAAAGCATTGGTGTTATAGGACAATAAAGTTCATATCTAGCAAGATAAAGTTATCTTAATGCTTCCCAAATTGTGTGGGACCCTAACAATCAATGCTTTAAGTGGCATTTAAAAGGAAAGAAAAGAACATAAAGACACTTGAAGTTTCTAAAATACAATAATACTTAATAGATCATGACTTTTGTTCCCATAGGATAAAAATAAACAAGGCATTTTTTTAGAAGCAAGTTCTTCAGCTTCCGTGATTAAACAGGTGATCCTGCCATACTGGGGGCAGATGTCATGCCAAAAGGCCTTTGCAGCATTGTAAAGGCTCAAACTGTTAGTGTGTTACCAGTATTTGTGATTAATCAGGTCCCCTCCCCTCTCCCCCTGGCAATCAGGGAGCGTTTTCTAATCCCTGCTGATTCCCTATCTTTTTAATCATAAAGAACAATCTGTCAAGGAAAAAAGGGTTTTCTCTCTAGTCCCTGCTTTACTGCCTTTTGCCACTCTGTCCCAGCAGCCATTGTAAAAGACTATCTAGCTATGTAGATGTGACGGTAGCTGGTTTTTCATAAAATCTTATGACTTTCTCCCAATCATATGAAGTCTGCTGCTTTACAAACTACCCACTCTTCTCTTTATCCGGAGGTCCTGTGAAACCGAAATGACATTCAGTCGTTTCTATAGCAACACGTTCTAAGCATGGGATTAGAAAAAAATGAACATTTTTAAACGCAGGAACTGTTTTCTGAAACCAAGAAAGATTAGTTAACTCAAGCAACATTATTGTAGGCCTACTATGCATCCAGCACTATGCTAATCACTATAAAAAATCTCTCAACCACTTAGCAGAGTCTAGAATTAATTTTGGACTGACATGTAAAATAATTTCACTCTAGTTATTATCAGTTTTATCCTTGGGAATCTTCTCTTCACGTATTTGGCTTTCTTGTTTTCTTTACAGAACACATACACTAAGTCTGCAAACCACAATAATATGGTTGGAAAATGCTTTCCTTATTTCCATGCATTCTAAACTTTTTAGACTATTATGCCATCATTCTTTTTGTTGGGAAAAATGCTGAGTTTCAGATGGGCAAGAACATGAAAATAAAACATTGTGTGTGCTATTATACAAAATGTCACAGAATATCATACATATTTATTTTACAGCCACTCTTCCCAGCCTATCCATCTAATTACTTTATGGCCATGCCATTCATGAGCAATATAGTCATTCTAAAATCCATAACAATAAAAACTTTATTACATGTCACCTCATATTTTTATACAGATACATATTTTTACATTTATGGCTAGAGATACTTTATACCAAGGCAATGACTTGGAGAATTAATATTCTAATTAAAAAGTTTTATAGTTTTGGAAATCAGAAAGCACTGTTTGCAAACACCTGAAATCTGTGGTATTGAAGCAAAACATCAGAATCTGGTGGTATAAGCTCTAGGACACTAAACAATATGTTCATTTTGTACTTTGCAGATCCACTAGCTTCTTTTCTGTTTACATAATAACAACTCTTCACAAAGCTTAGCTAAAGCCAAAGCAAATAAACTAAACTTGGGAATAAAAAGTGTAAGAGGCAACAGCCTTCATCTTGTGGAAGCCTACAGCATTTTATTTATTTTAAAATTATGCTTTCATAACTAACAAAAATCTCAATTTGATGAAAAGCACAATTATTTTTGATCTTCATATCAGCCTACCATTTCTTTGCAAATTAGCTTTTATCTTCATATCAGCCTACCATTTCTTTGCAATGTTTTAAAAGTTAATTTTATTAATGTACTGGTGTTCACACATTAGTAAAATATTGTTCATTTTTCTTGGTTATCTTTGTTTCCATATTATTATCTTTGTTTTGTTTCCATAATATGAAAATGGGTGATTGAAATAGGTTTCAATCATTTTCCCTTATTTCCCACCTGAGATTCACGTCACTGCAAATGCTGAACCTGAAAAATTTGATGATGGAGGTTATTTTTAACTGAACACTTGCATTTCTGACCCTCAGCAAAAGACTGTGTGTGTCTGTATAAATAACTGTATAATAATATAATGTGATGTACAAATCTTATATCACTGAGCTTCAGTTAGCCCCATCTGTTAAGCAGAAGTATGATCTACCTTAAAGGGCTGTTATGAAGATTAGAAAATTAGAAATTTTATATATTAATATATAGCTGACACAAAATAGGGGCAAAAAATAATAACAATTATTGTTATTGTTGCAGGAAAAGAGTTCAATAAAATGGCCTTAACTGGTATAAGAAGTTACAATTGTTAAAAGGAGATTCAGCTGTGATAGCAAAAGAGAAAGAAAATGAAAAAGTTGTCCTGGCTCATCTCTGGAAAGACATGATATTTCATAACCTCAAGGTGTTTGCTTCTGACCTATAACTTCAATTATAGACCAGGTTATCCAAAAGTTCTCCTTATTAACAAGGTATCTGTTTTTACCAGGTGTCTGTTATTAATTAGTTAGTATATAATTTAATGCAATTAACCAAAGCACCTCTTATGCCTAGAACATAGCAGGTGGTTTACTTCTTTCTTATGACATATTCAAGACTCATGGTTTTCCCATTTTTAGAGTCAAAAACATAAATTCCTCCTTTTGCTTTCCTGCGCTAACATATCCACCTCACACACCTGTTTACTCTTTGTTTGCAGGGAAATGTGTACATCTGCTAGGGCGTGATCTCGATGATGAGGTGACATATGGGATGTCATTCCATTATTTAAAGAACAAATTCCAAAGATCAAACTTTTCTCCCCACACTTGTGAGTGATACATGGGTCTTCTCAGGGACATTAAAATGGAGCTAGTCTCACTGATTTCATGGACATTTAGCATACAATTATTGAGTTACCTGCTGAAATCTCTTCATACATATCTGGTTTCACCCTAGGTTATGAATATCCATGCAGACTATTTTTCCAAGCTTCTACGCAACTAACCTTGGCACTTACCCCCAGCTCAGGCAGCAAGCAAATTATTCTGGCTTGATGTCCATCTGATGGTTTACTCTTGCTACCTCCTACTCCCTACTATAACCACAAATGACCTCCTCCCCACTTGCTCTCATTCTTACCAGAAGTTTTCAGTTAACAGCTCACTACTAAGCCAGTTTCCTTCTTAAAGTATATATATCCTTTTAAAATTTCCAGTCTTGTTACTCTCTCTCTTCCTCTTCAATTTCTTGTCCTGTTGTCACAAGATCTCTTCTTAGCTCACCAAATTATCTTCTCTTCCCTTTCTCTTTTATTCCATTTATGAACAAGACACCAACTTCTACCACAACAACAGAACAAAACAACCCCTAGCTTCAAAGAGAACAAAAAAACCCCAAAATAAATTAAAAATGGCTTTAATGCTTAGAGTTGCAGGGACAAGAAAAACCACATTCTTTTAAAATGAAATTAGATGTCATAAAGGACTATGAACTAGTAAGAGTTCCCCGAAGTCCCCTTCCGAATCTCACAAAAGACTCCATCTCCTTCTTCATCTGGCTTTTTGTTAATAACCAATGTCCAATATAAATAGAAACATTGCTTTGTTTTGATTGTATTGCTCTTTCATTTGTGCAAATGGTAGTATTTCTATTGTATCAATGATAAACTTTTTCAGGCAAGCCTGAGATGGCAGATTACAACATTATTTCTATGGGAACACCCATTCCTAATTGGAAACAATCAGATTACCAACAGAGAGTTCATAAACTGAGAGCTGCCTGCAATGAGAACTGATTTACACTCTGGTTTCTAATTTAGAAACAATTTCACTGTGCTAGTTTCTCCTTTTGCACAAAGATTTAGGATGGTGCAGTAGGGTAAGGAAAAATGGCTTCCCTTCAGTCTGCTAGGTTCTTTGGCTGGGCTACAAATTAAATTGCCATAAAACAGATTAATAGGAGAAAACCATATTTAATAACATGTATGCATGGGAGTCCCATAAAATATGGGATTGGAAGAAGGATCAGATGATTATATAGCATCCTGAGGTACAGAAAGGAGTAGGGGCTTGGCACTTCCAGGGGATGGTGGCAACACAAGCAATGGGAGGATAAGGGGAGACAATGTATGGTGAATAAATGGTTGTCTTACGCAGACATAAGGTCTCTCACGTAATACAAGTTATCTGGGAGCAGCCCTCAGAAAAATAGGTGTTAATCTGTGGGGTCATGGTGTCCACCTCCAATCTCCTCTCCTGTGATCGAAGTTAATCTTCCTTGGTTGATAAGATTCCCAGGGAGGGGATTCATGACAATTTAGTTCCTTTTGGGGGCTGTCTTTAGGAAGACTAAAGGGAGCTCAGAGGAAGCCTCTGCCGGCATCCACTGTTCCCCAAGTGTCCTCAGTTCAAAGCAATAAACATACCAATGTGTCATATTTTGGGGTGGCATTTCCTGAATCCCTTTAGTGAAAAAAGGAGAAAATAAGAATAGGCACCTCATAGAAAAATTTACCTCTATTTCAAATAATGCATATTGGGAAATTGAATTGAATGATGAAGCAAATAAAATATTTATTTATTGTATGTAATATAGATGAGTCAATGTCGCTTTGAGAAATTTAACTTTTTAATTTGCTAACTTGGTGTTTGTATTGCATTAGCAATTGCAAATGAATATTATTCTCTTGCAAGTGTCAAAAAGATAATGTTGTGGGGAAAGCAGCTCCAACTGTTACTCAGGCATGGCTGGAAAAAGCTTGCACTCTTCATTGTCTTTTTCTAGTCACTGAATCGCCAGCTTTATTTCTATGGTGGCAGGTATACCAAAATCAGAATGGGATTACACTCACATATTAGTATATACAGCAACCTGCCTGTGTGAAATATATGCAAATCTTCCCCTACATACCATGTAGTTAACTCTACAATGAACAATATATAAATATTGTGGGTAAAGTAAATCAATATAAAATCATACATTCACATTCACAATATTTTAAAAATATCAAAATGGTTTTGGCTAAGAACATAAAACATTTTATTTTTGGAAAAGGAAGTCTGTTTCAATAGTCTTGTTAAAAATACTACCATATAAACTATGCACTTAAGATACAAAAAAAGAGTAACACTTAACTTCATAAGAAATATCAAACCATTTATTATAAATTATTCATTAAACGTAGTGAATTATTTTATATGGGAAAATTCTCTTTGAAATAATATTTGTATGGCTTCCTAAAATCAGACAAGGTTAGCTACACTTGAGTTTCTTACTTTCTTGCATATAAGTCAGAAATATTCTTTGAAAAGCTCAAATACAAGATAAGGTGTATTCTCCACATCTCTGTGTGTGTGTGTCGCATGCATGCACACACATTATCTCCACATACACACACATATACACACACACACACACACGCACACATCCTTATTGTTATTTTCTTCTCATCTTCTAAATGTATTTATTTGACTCCCAGTAGAAGACAACTGTAAGCTACAGGGAAAAAATGCAATTAAATTTATGTTCAGAAGAACATAAACAATGGGAATATGTTCTGAGAAATTCATCATTAGGTGATTTTGCATTATGTGAATATCATAGAGAGTACTTACACAAATGTAGCTAGTATAACCTACTACATACCTAGGCTATATGGTCTAGTGGATTGCTCCTAGGCTACAAATCTGTACAGATGTTACTGTACTGAATACTACAGGTGACTGTAACACATGTTACGTATTTGTGTATCTACACATAGAAAAGGTACAATAAAAATACAGTGTAGAAGATAAACAATGGTACATGTGTATGGACACTTACCATAGATAGAGATTGCAAGATGAAAGTTGCTGTGGGTGAGTCAGTGAGTCAATGGTGAATGAATGTGAAGGCCTAGGACATTGCTGTAATCTTCTGTAGACTTTATATACACTGTACACATAGGCTACTCTAAATTTATTTTAACAAATTTTCTTCAATAATAAATTAATCTTAGCTTCCTTAACATTTGTACTTTGTAAACTTTTTTTTAAACTTTCTCTTTTGTAATAACACTTAGCTTAAAACACACATTGCATAGCTGTACGAAAATATTTTCTTTATATCCTTATTTTATAAATTTGTATTTTTAATTTTTTTTTTACTTTTTAAGCTTTATCATTAAAAACTAAGACATAAACACACAGATTAGCTTAGGTATACACAGGGTCAGGGTCGTCAATATCACTGTCTTCCACCTCCCCGTACTGTCCCACTAGAAGGTCTTCAAGGAGCATTAACACACATGAAGCTGTTTATCTCCTATAACAATGTCTTCTTTAGGAATACTTACTGAAGGAACTGCCTGAGGCCATTTTACAGCTAACTAAAAAAAAAATAAGTCTAAGAAGTACACTCTAAAATAATGATAAAAAATATGGTATTGGAGCTCAGAAAACAGTACCTCAAAAGGAAGGCCTCAGAAGCAAAAGGTTCTCCCTGATCTTTTGCCATCCTGTTTCTGGCCACTCATTCTCTCTTAAGGCTGGCCATTGAAACTAGAATCCCTTCTTCCCAAGGCACGTCATAGAAACCAGAACCCTTTTCCCCAAAGCCAGCTTAAAAATATTACTTTAACTTAAAATAAAATTTTAAAATATTACTTTAACTCCCACCTCACCCCTGCCTTTCTGTATAAAAATTGGCCATAAAAAATTATCTCACCTACCTTGTTTGACTGTAGGTCATAAGACCCCCCATTCTAGAGAGGCTCCTGCCCCTTACCCAGAAGTAAGGAACGCTGCACAGAAAGGCCAGGAAGAATCTAAACAGACAGGCCTTACTGGGTTCTCCCACTCAGTCTATTAGCATTAGATCATACCCTTTTTGTCCAATCATATTTGCACATGCTATACATACTTTGTTGAACCAAAGTATAAAAATGGACTGTTTCCTTCATCTTTGTGTCTTCATTCTAAAGGCTCCCAAGTCATGTAAAATTATAATAAATTTGTATTTGCCTTTTTTATTAATCTGCTGTTTTGTCAGTTGATTTCCATCAAACCTTCAGAGGGTGAAGGAGAAGTTTTCCCTGGGTCCCTACAATAGTATAGATAAATACATAAACCAGTAACATAGTCATTTACTACCACTATAAAGTATTATGTACTGTATATATTTGTATGTGCTATACTTTTATATGACTGGCAAAGCAATAGGTTTATTTACAGCAGCATCACCACAAACATATGAGCAATGCATTTTGCTCTGGCATTATGATGGCTACAACATCACGAGGTCATAGGAATTTTTCAGCTCCATTACAATCTTATAGGACCACTAGTGTCATTAACTGGAATGTTGTTGTGTGGCACTTGACCATATATGTTTTAATGTTGAAGAGTGAATTAAATTAATAACAGGGAATTTCTTTGCTTTGGTTTACTTAAATGTGAAAATGGATTGCTATTTAAGCAGAGTGTACAAAATAAATACTTTTTTCACATTCTAGTAAAATGGCCAGTTTAATAATATTTTGAACAAAAAAAATTCCCCCCAGACCAAGGTGTTTTTTATTTAATAGGGAAAAATAGTGCTAAAATTTCAAATGATTTTTTTTTTCTTTCTTTTCTGTCACTCCTCTGGCTCTTTTTCCCAATGAATGAATGAACCTGGGAAGAATTATCAGTCTGATACGTGGTAAGTAAGTGGTTTCTAGGTATTTAATATGCCTTTTCCTGATAACTAATTTGCCAGATAGATTTTCCAAAAATGGTTGCAACAATATCTCCCATCCCTGATTCTCTTCTTAAATATGACTTTGACAACTTTTCTATCAAGAGGTAGGGTCTATATCCCCTTCCCTTGAAACTAAGAGGGTCTGTGGTTAAGGCAGAACTGACACTCAGTGACTTTTGAGCTAAGTCATAAAAGATGATACAACTTATGGCTGGTTCTGACTCAATCTTGGAACCCAGCCATCATGTTGTGAAGAATCTCAGGACATTTACAGAGGCTTCATAGGTTTCTGGCAGACAGCTCCAGCTTACAACAGCATCAACCAACAGACTTGTGAGTGAAGATGGCTCCTGAAGGTATCAGCCCCCCGCTGTCCAGTCACCTCCCAGCTTTTGAGTCTTTCCAGCCGAGACCCCAGACACCAAGGCACAGAGACAAACGTCTGCATTGTAACCTGTCCAAAATTCTGACCCACAGAGTTCTTGGCATAATATAATGATTGTTTTATGTCACTAAAGTTTGGAGTGGCTTGTCACATTGCAATAAAAAATTGCAACAACGAAGGAGGTTGATTATCTTTTCATGCTTATTGATCATTTGCATTTCTTCTGTGTACTGTCTATTCACAAATTTTGCCTGTTTGACTCTTGGGTTATTTGTCTTGCTCATATTTTCTGCATATTAATCCTACTTTTGTTACCTATATTGCAAATGTATTCAACCAGTTGCTTGCTAGGTAATAGAGAAATTTGAGTTTTATGTATCCGTTCATTGTTTTCATTTTTTAGTCTTGGGGTTTTGTATCTTTTTTTTTTTTTTTTTTTTTTTTTTTGAGACGACGGAGTCTCTCTCTGTCACCCAGGCTGGAGTGCAGTGGCGTGATCTCCGCTCACTGCAAGCTCTGCCTCCCGGGTTCATGCTGTTTTCCTGCCTCAGCCTCCCAAATAGCTGGGACCACAGGCGCCCGCCACCATGCCCAGCTAATTTTTTTTTTTTTTGTATTTTTTAGTAGAGACGGGGTTTCACTGTGTTAGCCAGGATGGTCTCGATCTCCTGACCTCGTGATCCGCCAGCCTCGGCCTCCCGAAGTGCTGGGATTACAGGCGTGAGCCACTGTGCCCGGCCGGTTTTGTGTCTTTTTTAGAAAAAGGCTTTCCCATTTGAAGAATATAAAAATATCCTATACTTTCTTCTAGCACTTTTATACCTTTTCTTATTCATCATAAGATCAGTCTCTGACTCTATCTTGAATTTATTATTTTACATGGTATGGGACAGTGAAAATCTAACTCTTTTTAGATGGATAGTCAGTTGTCTCTGTACCATTTATTTAAATCATCCATTCTTTTTCCATTGATTTGAAATGCCTCCTTTATGAACTAAATTCTTAAATAAATATATGTCTATTTCTAGACTGTCTATTCTGAACCATTAAACTGTTTGATCATTACTACAAAAGTGCCATTTTATTTTAATTTATATAGCTTTTTGATATGTTCTGATATCCAGTAGAACGCATAGTATAGTCTAATTTTTCTTCCCCCAGAAATATCTTTGCAGATTTTAAGAATTTCGTCTTTCAGATAAATTTCAGAATAAACTCGCCAAGTGCCTTGCTTGGCACTTAAGTCACAGCCTTGCTTTGACTTAATAAATTAATGTGTAGCAAACTGACATATTTATTATGTCTTCTTGTATATTAACATGGTATATTTCCCCATATATCCAGGTCATTTTGTAGATCCTTTAGCAAAGTTTTAGAAGTTTTCTTCATCTACTCACGTACAATTATTTTAGGCTTATTCCTAGGTAGTCTGTTGTTTTCGTTATTCTTGTGGATAGTTTTTTAAAAATACAATATTTTCAAATTGGCCATTGCTGAAGTATAGTAAAACTACTGAATTATGTATATATTTGTATGTGTATTTATATATATATACATATTAAAAGTATTTTTTGTTTTTTATATTCAGCTTTTAAAAAATTCTTTTATTAGTGATAATAGGCTTTCAGTTGATTCTCCTTGAATTTTCCCTCTAATTGTAGATGACCGTCCCTTTGAATTATAGATTACACTAGGTTTCTGTGATTAAACAAATATTAAGATGATATATCAAACAGAGACAGTTTTAAAGTACAAATTATATATCACTTAAAAGTTTCTAAATTTTAGAAAAATATTTATCAATGTTTTCTGAAATCTACTTTATACTTAGTTACCTAGAACAGGGGTTGGTAAACTACCATCCATGGGCCAAATCTGACCCCTGTCTGGTTTTTTTATATCCCCCCAGCTGATATAATGGTCTTTAAATTTTTAAGTGATTGAAAAATACAAAAATAACAATTTTTTGGTACATACAAATTATATGAAGTTCAAATTTCAGTATCCATAAATAAAGTTTTATTGGAACCAGCCATGCTCTTTCTTTCATATATATATCTATTATCTATGATCACTTTCCCACTACGATGGCAGAGTAGAGTAGTTGTGACATATTGACTGTATATGTTGCTTTTATTGCTTTGCAGTGCTGCTGGGTACACTACAAATCATACTGACATAGTTATCATTTGATTGTGTTTTACATGCCACGTTGTACTGTGACATCTTATTTTTTAAACTGCCATTTCATACCTATCATCTCAAAACAGTAAAAGAAGAGAAAAGTGGACTTCAAATGACAGGTACAGTGGAGTGTAGATGACTGTTATCAAATTAGATGGCAAAGCATTGTGTCTATTGTGCATGACACTTTGGCTATGCTAAAAAAATACAATATATACAGGCATTTCTAGGTTAAACACTCATCACATTATTCTCAACTCACCAGTAACCAATAGTCATAGAAATAAAAAATTAAATTGAATATATCATCACAGTAGAATTTTTTCACAAAAATAAAAAGTGCAAATAACACTGCATCAAAAATAATTTTCTGAGTAGCTCATTTGTTTCCCAAGCAAGGAAAGCTATTTACTGAGGATGAATAAATTAAATTGTGTTTGATTATAGCAGTTGAATAAATTATCCAGATAGAACAAACCTGTTTAAGACTATTAGCTTTTTGGTGAGAACAGTTGCTTGAATAGTTGAGAATACTGGAAGCAATGGCAATTGTTGATTAAAAGACAAGGCAAGTAATTTTGAGTGGTTTTCCTTGCATCTTGATGAGTTGACAGATATAGCTGATACCACTCAGTTATTATTTATTTGAGGAGTCAATTCTGAGTCTACAGTGATTAAAGAATTAGCCTAATGAATAGCCTGCATTGTAAAACTATAGGTGACAACATTTCCAAAAAAACTGAGAGAACACAAATTCTGCACAACCTGAAGGGGAATCTTCTAAGATGTGTTCCAATAGACGGTGGTAAAATATTTATTTTAAAGCAGAAAAAGGGTTTAATTGTACAAATTCATATAGCTTTTCAAAATGTAAGGCATCTTAAACCTATAGTGACTCATATTATTCATCAGCGGTGCTTTGTGGAACATCTTTAAATCTATCATGTGTAATTGAAACAGTAGTGTCAATGGTGATATTCATTTACTTTTGCGGACTTAACCATCATTAGTCCTGTAAAGTTTTGTTAGAATAGAATCTGAATATTCTACTTCTCTATCACATGGCAGAAACAATTGCTAAGTAGTAGTAACATTTCATTATGATTTGTTTGAGCTCAGGGCCAAGATTGAAATTTTTATGAATGAGATGCACCACTATCACCTATAATTGAATACTGAATAGTTTTGGAAATGAGCTTTCCTACAGACTGTTAATGTTTCTTTAAAAATTCAACCTAAAATTGTTAGGCAAAACAGCACTTACAAGTGAAATTTATACTGTGGTAAAGTCATTTCAGTGACAACTAATGTTGTTTGAATCACATGTAATGTCAAACTGCTTTCTACATTTCCTGTGCTGTCAAAAGTTAAAACAAGAAGCAAGACCTCCATTTCCACACAAACGTGCAGCAGATATATCTTTTGAGTTCAAACTACAATTCCAGCAGTGGATTTTTTTGGACTTTGATGCAAGTGCAAATGAAATTTCCTTATTTCAAAATCCATTTAACTGTGCAATTGAGGAGCTTCCACCTACCCTTCAATTGGAAGTAATTAATATAATGACATGCTAAAAGGCAAATACCAAGAGAAGAATCTAATAGAATTCTTTAAGTGCTTTTTAAGTAATGATTGTGCTAAATTAAAATCATATGTTCATCAACAGATATTAGTATTTGACAGTATCTATTTGTGTGAAAAGATATTTTCAAAGACAAAATATGTAAAACCTCATTATGAATCAGCATTAACAGATGGGCATGGGCAATTGATTCTGATGATAGGAAGCACTAACTTTGAACCCCAATTAAGTGAAATGTTATCACTCTCCCACAATAAAAGAATTCAATTTTTCTCATCAGTAGACCTATATTATAGAAAATTATACTTAACTATTATTATCAAATTTTCCATTTTTGTCAATAAAGATTTATAGAAATTTGTTTTCTATCTTGTCATGTAATTGCCCACATAATATCCTTGATTTTGACTCTTGGCCTAAAAAGTCTAACATATTTACTTTTTGGGTCTTAACAGAAAAATGTTGCCAATCCCTGACATAGACTATTCTCTTATGTCCTTTATTGTCAAAGGTGTCTACTAAAGATAATTCTCAAAATAATTGTATAAGTTCATGTTTGTTGAGTGCTTACTATGTGCAAAGCTGTTTAAGTTCAGAGACTTTCTCAAGGTCAAACACTGGTAAATGAATTAACCATTATTTAGATGGTTAACAATGATATAGATAGTACTGTAGTTATAATTCCCATTTTACACATGAAAAAACTTAGGCTCAGAGAGGCTAAGTAATTCCTCAAAGCCACACAACCTAGGCTTTGCAGCCAGGAAGATGAGATTAAATCATGCTTAATTCCCTTACCAGTGTATGACCTTGGGAAAGGCTGTGAACTTCAATTTCTCTACACTATAAATTGAAAATTATAGTACTGACTATATCATAGGGTTGATTTCAATATTAGATTAATTACTATATAGAAAGCACTTAGAACAACTATAGCTCTAGTGTGGAGTAGTCAGAAATGGCCTGGAAGTTCATTTTTAGTAAAGAGATTAATAAAATAGTTTATTATGTACCAGGAGTTGATGGAGAACAGTTCCCAATTCAGCTGTCAATTTGAGCTTTTCGCTTATGAAATCTATGCTATTGAGTTGACGTTTGTTAAGGAAAAGAACCTAATGTCTGATAAACAGGCAAAAATTAACTATTACATTTAAATGTGACTATTGCAGATGTACTAAGTAGTTGAGAAAGCCAGTTGGGGTCATACTCACTTAGGCTTACACCTAGCTTTGCCTCCTTGTTAGCTGTGTGACCTTGGTCAAATCACTTAACCTTTCTGAGCTGAGGTACCCTCCTCTATAAAATGTGGATTTTAAGTAGGCTATTATAGAGGATGATGTGAGGATTTTAAAAGACCATGCATCAAAAGTACCTAAGATGAAGCCTGATTTAAGAATGAGCTCAGCAAATGCTAGCTCATTTCCTTGGATTAGCCTTTCTACACTGACCCAAGGCTTGCAAGGCAAAGCAAAACTAAATAAAAGCAAAATGAAGTTAAAAAGCCCAAACAAATAAAAACCAATTTGTTAATTGGGTGTTGGTGGATAAAAAGACTCTGAAAGTACATCCAGTCAAATTTGAATTTCAGGTAAACTATGAAATTATTTGTAGTATAAGTATATAAGTATGTAGTGTAAGTATCCCAAGCATTGCATGGGATATACTTACACTCACTAAATTCTTCACTGTTTATTCAAAATTCCAATTTAACTGGATGTCAGGTATTTCTATTTATTAAACCCGGCAGCCTAGACATGGTAGAATTTAGTAAGCCCAGACATGACAGACTCCTGAATAGCCAAGGCACAGAATTCAAAAGAGTCAAATGTGTTTCCAACTTGCTAACTGCAAAAGCATCAAGGAAAAGGTTGACCCCACCCTCTCTGTCTCTGCCAAGCAAAGAGCCCAGATGGGAAACCCCAGGTGAGTGATTTAGCCTCCTGTGCATACTCTATGGGATCCTGGTGCAGAGGTTGCTGGGAAAACCGTGGCAGCCTGCCCTAGGTTTTCCTTCGGGTGGGGCCCTGTGGTTATGGTGTGGTGACTCTTTGTCACGGTGCCCCTGCCACGCCCTGCTTAGTCCACCTGGTGGTTGGGGGTAGGGGAGAAGAGAAGTTACAGGCAGAAAAAAAGGACTTATCAATGTAACATATTTCTTAGGTGGTTTGTGCATTGCTGTTTGGGCTTGCAAAACTTTAATTATTACTTTGATGCAGAGTGGCTGCAGATTGTCACTGCCAGGCCTGATTTAATAGCCTGCTTGCACAAAGTCCGACAGAGATTGCTTTTGTTGCACTTTCTAACAGCTCGTGATGGTGGCTTTTTTACGTTAAGGAGGAAACTCTGTGGTTAAACTGTAGCCTAGGTATTTTTAGAGCCGTTACCATGTTAACCGAAATTTCGTACATTTCACCTGCAGGATATGCAGTCGTGCTTAGGGCCTTCCTTAAACTCTAACAAAAAATATAATTTAACAGTTGTTAATACTGTGCTTAGGACCAACTCCATGTTATCAGAAAAGCTACTGACCAAATACTGGACTGCTAAGAATCCTTTTTTTGGATGGGTGGTACTGTGCCATTAGAGAGTATTTTTTTTTCCTTGATATAAAACGAGTTGAAGGAACATAACCAAAAGGCTAAAATTGGTTAGTTCTAAAGGTCAGAGCCTGAAGGCAGTGACCCATTTGTTAATCATTAAGCTTTTCTAAGCCGTCTCTGACAGAATTCTGGCTTTCTGCCACTTCTCTGGTCATTTTAAACTGCAAATTCTTGTACTGTTTCAGTTTTTAAGTAGGTTTCAAAGGTTATGAGAAAGGCATAACTTGTTAGCTATTTTTCCTTATCAAACGTCTTTAGGGTTTTGGAAGGCAGAGCTGTTCTGTGTTAAGAGAATCCTCACAGCATACCCAGCCATACAGCATTTAAAGATGGACTCTTGGGTCCTCTGAAAAGGGTGGATTTCTAGCTATCATTCCCATGTTACTTAGTTTCCATAGATAAGCAGGATGTGAGGGCTGAGGACACCCACTTAGCCATTAGGTATTAGTTCCCAAATCACTGCTATCTCAGGGTAGTTGTCTCCAATAATCCCAGCACTGAAAGTTCAAAAAACAGGAGCAAAATAACCACAATGTATTTATCATCTTCTGTCATCAGTTATAAAGTGGAAGTACTTTAAAATATTTTGAATGCATTTTTGTAAAGCCCAGTGAGGTTCCAGTGCTATGACGTTTCATTGCCAGAAAACTCAATGCCAGTTTATGCTCTAGTCCATCTGAATAAAAAGTGATCTGTACACCCAAAACACATAAACAGAACTAAATTTTATGTAGCCAAGGGACATTAAGCTGCTAAAACATTTGCTTCAATATTGAACATGGAATAGCTGTCCTCTATTTCTCAAGGGAAAAAATATACAGTCAAACCTTGCTTATCCATAACCCAAACTTCCGGAAGCCTTAAGTATTTGGAACTGCTCCAAACCCAGAAGAGGGGAGGAGTGAGAGGAATAGAGTGGGGGTGGGAGAAGTGGGGAGCAGAGAGAGACAGAGAATGAACTAGCGGAAAGCAAGCAAGTCAGCTTTTAGAAGTAGACCTGAAGCCCTAGCAACACTGAAAAGAGACCTGGAGCTTACATCTGATTGGCTTTCCAGCCAGAAGGAATAGAGAGCTCTGATTGGCTGGTGATGATGTCTCCAAATAACCAGCCTTTTTCAGGAAAGCAAATTTATGTGGCAGAAAGGACAAGAGACAGAAGAAGCACGCAAGAAGAAAAGCGAGGAGAACAGAGCAAAAAAAAAAAAAAAAAAAAAAGGAAGATTATTTGTTACAGTGGTGGAGACTGAGACAAAAATGAGAATAACAAGCCTATTTACGTAACTGCTTACAGTTTACAAAGTGCTTTTACATGTAATCATTGATATTGTCTTTACAAAGACCTGCAGGGCTCCCAGAAGTTAAATGGCATGCCCCAGGTCACCCAGCTAGTAAGAAAAATAGTGCATGTCTTCTGGCTAAAAATCTAACACTTTTGATATGGAGCAGGTGTTGTGGAGATAATGATTTAGAGTTGTCCTGTAGGACAGAGGGAAGCAAATGCTCTGACAGCAGAAAAGAAAATCAGAAGGCACGTCAGCCTGTAGTTTAGCGGGCAATGCAGACAGGAGTGAAGGGCTCCCTGTTCTTCACGACCACACACCTTGAAAACATAGATATAGGAAACATCTCTGTGGGTATTTGGAAGGGGAGATGGTTGTGGTACAAATGAAACCTATGTCTAGAGGGCTCAGAGGGCAGTCCTGAATATATTTCCCTGGGGTGTATCACAGTCGCCTTTCATTTAACACGTAGAAGTTGGATACCTAATTATTCCTTCCATCTATCCTTGAAAGCTGTTCCTTCCTCAGGCTTAGTCGACAACATAACCATTCACCCAGTTGCTCAAGCTAAGAACCTGTAAGTCATCTTTGTCTTAATTTTCTTTCCATGTTTAATTTATCAGCAAGTCCTGTAGATTCTACTTCTAAAACACACCTTGAATAAGGCTACTCTGTTCATCTCCATAATCACCATTGTTTTCTCCTTCTGAGCCACTGCAATAACTTGCTATTTGGTTTCAATACTTTCTGGCACCCTGTCTTCCCCAGCTCTTGCCTCCTTCCCTTGAAATCCATTCTCTGGACTATGCCATCCTGCTTAAAACATGCCTGAGAATAATTCAAAATCCTTCCCAGGATCTGGCCCCAGTTTAATTTGCCTCACTCTGCCTAGGACTCACTGTTCTAGCTATGGAGGCCTCCTTTTTGTTATCAGAACACAGCACAGTCTTTCCAGCTGAAGAGACTTAAATATTTTGCTGGTCCCTGTCTCCATGTTATCACATGGCTAGCTCTTTCTCCTATCTCATGCTATCTACACAGACAGTCCTACTCTCACAAGCTGTGTGAGAGTTCCCTTCATTCTCATAGAACCTTTTTATTAACTTTCTGTGACCTCTCAAACTGAAATTACTTATGTTTTTATTTGATTCCTTGTTTATCATCGTCTTTTTATATGACTTCCCCCTACTAGTAATCAAACTCCATTAAGACAAGGATCAGGTCAATTGCCCTCATCACTGTATCCCCAGAGCTTACAACGTGGTACACAGGAGATACTCAATAACTATGTGTCGAATGAATAAGTGAATAAATATCAGGGAATTAACATACCCTACATGTTACATAGTACCATGCATCAGTGGAGCCATGGATATGAGACACTGTGTTTCCTGTTTGTAACCTGTTATTTGTTAATTCCTGTCAGAGTTGAGAGCTCTGATAGTAGCTGCCATCATCTGGGGAGTTCTATGGAATCTTGCCACCATGAGTTCTGGAAAAGGGAATCTGTTTGTGTTGGGACTTGAGGGATGGTATAAATTAACTCCCAAGGTTTATTAGTAGTAAACAATTAAAATCCACCCTGAAATTGGAGCTTTACTAAAGATGGCTATTTTGTAGCATGTAGGAAATTACGATATTGGTTTACCTCCTAGGATTCAAAAAGCATTCATTCTCTTTTGGAGCCAGAAAAGGAGAGGTATGTCTCCTAACAGAACTGTGCTGGGTTTTTTTTTGTTATTGTTGTTTTCTTTTTTTGACAGTCTGTGGAGCTCACACATTGGCCATAATAAAGCCTGCTATCTATTTTTGATTTGTCAAAGTTGTGCTTGAGAGTGATTAACATACCCTTAGCAAAATGAATCATTCTATAGAGATTTAAAAGTCACGATGGAATAAATATCTTGGTCAAAGGTATTGCTGCTTTAATTACATTCATTTGTTTCAATATTTCGGTTTTAGGGATTTCTTAACTGAGTTGTTAAGGATCCTTTTAGGGATTTCTTAACTGAGTTGTTAAGGATCCTTTTGAAAGTGAAGTTTACCATGGTGCCCTCTGGTGGAATGAAATTCGCACAGTTTTTAAAGCTAAAGCCCTATCTAGTGAGAATGCATACAGAAATAAAAGGAGCAACATTAAATACAAATGTCCAAAAACTATAAGCAGGGTACTCTTGCTATTGGGGGACTACAAGATATACCTGCCTCAGAATATTTACAGATTCAGGGATAGGGCATGTAGTTGCTATAAAGGAAGAGCAATGACATAAATACATACAATTCCAAATCCATTAGAAAATGAGGGCCAGAAGCCACAGCATTTCATATCATCTGGCAACACTGACACTGACTAATTAGGTATTATATTGAGAAAGTCAGAAGAAGGTGATGGCAATTACAGCATTTGCAACAATATTCATAAATAGCTAGGAACACAAGGGGGAAATACAATTTGGTTGTGGTCTATCAAGAACCAGTGGATATTCATTTGATAGGACTTTTGTAATTAGGCTCACCATCAAAGCTGATAAAATCATCAAAATGGTAAGTGTCCCAGTGTTGGTTCCTTGAAACTGTGTTGTGACCAGACTTAGTGACTCCTTGATAAAGCAGCTTTCACGTGTCTTCACAAGGAAATAAAGTGAAAGTCTCTGGGACGCTATCTGGGTCACACACCACAGGGATCCTGCTCAGAGGATTTAGAACATTGGACCAGCTCACTAAGGAAAGATGTCAAGGCCCTTCTTTGAGGACCTAAGGAAGTTTTTAATATTCGTTCGTCTGAATGCACTAAATAAAACTCTCATTCCAAATAAGATAAAAGAGGGGAAAAAAGTGTTTGAGCATCCAATCCCCCAAAGTGTCTGCAAATTATTTAGTATTATTTCAGTACTCAAACTTCCTGAAAGGTGGAATGTGGGGCAGAGGAGTAGTGAGCAGGGACCATAGCACACATGCATTTAGTCAGCTTGTTGGTTTTCTTATTGGGGACCTTTCTTTGAAACTTGGTGCACCTCAGATTTTAAAAAACCCAAAGCCAAAAAACAACTAACAGCTGGCTCTTCTAAAGCAGTGGCTCTCAGAGGAATGGTACTGCCTTCTAGGGGATATTTTGGAAGTTTATGAGGGCCATTTTTCTTGGGAAGGGTGTCTCAAAGTATAAATTATTATGGGACTGTTAACTGACATTCAGTGGGTAGTAGTCAGGGAGGTAAGGGGAAGTTCCATATCATGTTAGATTTTACTGTCCCACCAACTATTCATGTAGATTTTTAAAAAATCTGTATGTAATGATTTAAGCCTAGGACCAAATTCAATCTTACATAAAAAATTAAATATTTCTTTTCATGGTTTTAATAGACACCTAATTTCCCATAAATGCAAATCCAATGTAAACTAACTGAAGACTATACTTTGTTTCATTTGAACCTTACTGAGAATTGTTAATCATTTTTGAAAATTATAATATCAATATCCATGGCACATATGACATTTGAATCCTCTGAAAATATAACTGCAATAATTTGTAACATCCCAATTCAAAGTGATTATACAAACAGGTGTGTCTGATTATGTCTTCCAGTGTAGTTGTCCCCAAGCATTTTCAATTATTATTATGATATTCCTTTCTTCTTCTTTAAATTACAATTAGGCAATCATATTAGTAATTTTAAAATAATGTGTACTGGCCAGGAATAGTGGCTCATGCCTGTAATCCCAGCACTTTGGGAGTTCCGAGGCCGGTGGATCACAAGGTCAAGAGGCCGAGACCATCCTGGCCAACATGGTGAAACCCCATCTCTACTAAAAATACAAAAATTAGCCGGGCATGGTGGTAGGCACCTGTAGTCCCAGCTACTTGGGAGGCTGAGGCAGGAGAATTGCTTGAACCCAGGAGGTGGAGGTTGCAGTAAGCCAAGGTCGCGCCACTGCACTCCAGCCTGGCGACAGAGCGAGACTCCGTCTAAAAAACAAAAAAATGTCTTGGTAGGTTATGTTATCCATGAATTTCATTTTAGAATAGTTAGAGATGTTATTAAAAATATTTGTTATTAAAAGAGGACATGGGGTGATAATGAAAATGGCAAAATAAGGGACTCTGAAAACCCTCTCCTCCATACAAGCAATAAAAATACTGGCAAAAATTGTCAGTGTAAACTTTTTCAGAACTCTGGAAATTAATCAAAGACTAGCAGAAATCAGGTAAGCTTTTATTTAAAAAAATGGCTGAATGTCAGTAAAAACTAAGCTTTTTTGTCTTTTACTCTGCTCTTTTCTCATTCTCCCTCCCCTGCCCCCAGCTCTGCAATAACCTGGGAAACCAACAACTTGCAATCATGATAAACACTGGCAGTCTGGCAGCCCCCGGAGGGGATAGAACAGGGTTAGCGCTCTCTCCAAACTCCATTTCCAGAGAACTATCATTATTTGACCTGTCTGATGGTTCCCTGAAATATTCCACTCATAATATTGTCTCTATGTGACTTGACTTAGAGTTCACCCAATGTGAATATTTTTCTTAACAGAAATGATTTTCAATTATTTGTAGAAAAGACTGAGTGGCAATTGTTTCACATCACTGTTGCCTGAGGCAGTACATAAGAGTTGAAGCAAATAATCAGCTTACCAAAAGCTTAAAAGGAGAAGCTGTGGAAAGATACGTCCACAGGATGATTTGAAAAGCACAGACATAATGCTGGGAAACTAGAAGTACAAGTTCATGTGTAGGGATGTGAGCATACTCAGTGCTATCTGCATGCTCAGCTAAGACCTGAGAAAGATCTAAATTCTCAACTCTGCCTAACCTTGTGGCTCTATGGAGGCAGGAAGTGAAAGTGAAGGCAGAGTTTCATACTGCCTGCTGGAGTGTTCAAGGTGTGCTCCAAATGCACACAGAGCCCTTAGGCAAAGATTGGAGGACTTGTGAGCTCCAGGAATTTAAGAAAATCTTTGTCCAATCATTAGCTGAACACTAAGTCAGCTATCAGAGACTCCAATGGCCACCTATGACAAAGAAATCACATATTAAATAATTAGCTCAAACAAAACAAGCACCAACTACAAACAGCAACTTTCACAAACCCTGGGGAGGTAGGAGATTCTGATTTCAAGAGTTGCAACATTTTTTAAAATGTAGTTTCAACAAAAAATTAGGAGACATTCAAAGAAACTAAAAGTATGGCACACATGCAGTACAAAAGCAGTCAATATAAACTGTCTCTCAGGCACATCAAAAAGCTTATCCACCATGATCAAGTGGGCTTCATCCCTGGGATGCAAGGCTGGTTCAACATATGCAAATCAATAAATGTAATCCAGCATATAAACAGAACCAAAGACAAAAACCACATGATTATCTCAATAGATGCAGAAAAGGCCTCTGACAAAACAAAATTCAACAACCCTTCATGCTAAAAACTCTCAATAAATTAGGTATTGATGGAACGTATCTCAAAATAATAAGAGCTATTTATGACAAACCCACAGCCAATATCATACTGAATGGGCAAAAACTGGAAGCAGTCCCTTTGAAAACTGGCACAAGACAGGGATGCCCTCTCTTACCACTCCTATTCAACATAGTGTTGGAAGTTCTGGCCAGGGCAATCAGGCAGGAGAAAGAAATAAAGGGTATTCAATTAGGAAAAGAGGAAGTCAAATTGTCCCTGTTTGCAGATGACATGATTGTATATCTAGAAAACCCCATCGTCTCAGCCCAAAATCTCCTCAAGCTGATAAGCAACTTCAGCAAAGTCTCAGGATACAAAATCAATGTACAAAAATCACAAGCATTCTTATACACCAATAACAGACAAACAGAGAGCCAAATCATGAGTGAACTCCCATTCACAATTGCTTCAAAGACAATAAAATACCTAGGAATCCAACTTACAAGGGATGTGAAGGACCTCTTCAAGGAGAACTACAAACCACTGCTCAATGAAGTAAAAGAGGATACAAACAAATGGAAGAACATTCCATGCTCATGGGTAGGCAGAATCAATATCGTGAAAATGGCCATACTGCCCAAGGTAATTTATAGATTCAATGCCATCCCCATCAAGCTACCAATGACTTTCTTCACAGAATTGGAAAAAACTACTTTAAAGTTCATATGGAACCAAAAAAGAGCCTGCATTGCCAAGTCAATCTTAAGCCAAAAGGACAAAGCTGGAGGCATCACGCTACCTGACTTCAAACTATACTACAAGGCTACAGTAACCAAAACAGCATCATACTGGTACCAAAACAGAGATATACACCAATGGAACAGAACAGAGCCCTGAGAAATAATGCCGTATATCTACAACTATCTGATCTTTGACAAACCTGACAAAAACAAGCAATGGGGAAAGGATTCCCTATTTAATAAATGGTGCTGGGAAAACTGGCTAGCCATATGTAGAAAGCTGAAACTGGATCCCTTCCTTACACCTTATACAAAAATTAATTCAAATGGATTAAAGACTTAAATGTTAGACCTAAAACCATAAAAACCCTAGAAGAAAACATAGGCAATACCATTAAGGACATAGGCATGGGCAAGGACTTTCATGTCTAAAACACCAAAAGCAATGGCAACAAAAACCAAAATTGACAAATAGGATCTAATTAAACTAAAGAACTTCTGCACAACAAAAGAAACTACCATCAGAGTGAACAGGCAACCTATAGCATGGGAGAAAATTTTTGCCACCTACTCATCTCACAAAGGGCTAATATCCAGAATCTACAATGAACTCAAACGAATTTACAAGAAAAAAACAAACAACCCCATCAAAAAGTGGGCAAAGGATATGAACAGGCACTTCTCAAAAGAAGACATTAATGCAGCCAAAAAACACATGAAAAAATGCTCATCATCACTGGCCATCAGAAAAATGCAAATCAAAACCACAATGAGATACCATCTCACGCCAGTTAGAATGGCGTTCATTAAAAAGTCAGGAAACAACAGGTGCTGGAGAGAATGTGGAGAAATAGGAACACTTTTACACTGTTGGTGGGACTGTAAACTAGTTCAACCATTGTGGAAGTCAGTGTGGCGATTCCTCAGGGATCTAGAACTAGAAATACCATTTGACCCAGCCATCCCATTACTGGGTATATACCCAAAGGATTATAAATCATGCTGCTATAAAGACACATGCACACGTATGTTTATAGCGGCACTATTCACAATAGCAGATACTTGGAACCAACCTAAATGTCCAACAATGATAGACTGGATTAAGAAAATGTGGCACATAAACACCATGGAATACTATGCAGCCATAAAAATTATGAGTTCATGTCCTTTGTAGGGACATGGATGAAACTGGAAACAATCATTCTCAGCAAACTATTGCAAGGACAAAAAACCAAACACCGCATGTTCTCACTCATAGGTGGGAATTGAACAATGAGAACACATGTACACAGGAAGGGGAACATCACACACCGGGGACTGTTGTGGGGTGGGGGGACGGGAGAGGGATAGCATTAGGAGATATACCTAATGCTAAATGACGAGTTAATGGATGCAGCACACCAACATGGCACATGTATACATATGTAACAAACCTGCATGTTGCGCACATGTACCCTAAAACTTAAAGTATAATAATAATAAAATTAAAAAAAAAGTATCAAGAACTTTAAAAGATGAAAAAAAAAAAAAACCTCTCTGAGGAAGCCCAGACATTGTACTTACTAGACAAAGATTTAAATAAGCCATTTTAGTTGCATTCAAAGAATTAAAGAAAACTATGTCCGAGGAACTAAAGACAAGCATGAGAATGATTTTGCATCAAATAGAGATCAATAAATAGATAGAAATATAAAATAGAGCAAAACAGAAATTCTGGAATTGAGAAGTAAAATAACAGAAGAAAAAATTTTACTAGAGGGGCTCGATAGAAGATTTGAGCAGGCAGAATAAAGAATCAGCAAACTTGAAGATGAGTCAACTGATGCTATCAAGTCTGAGGAGCAGAAGGAAAAAAGAATGAGGAAAAATGAACAAAGCCTCAGACATTTGGGGAACACCATCAAATATATGCACAGTGGGAGTCACAGGAGAGGAGAGAAAGGAGTGGAAAGAATATATATATAAATAATGGCTAAAACTTTCCAGTTTGATAAAAAATCATGAATCTACATCCAACAAACTCAACACACTCTATGTAGAATAAAATCAGAGAGATTCATACCTATATGCATCATAGTCAAACCACTGAAATACAAAGACAAAGAGAATCTTGAAGCAGCAAGAAAGAAGTGACTCATTATGTTCCAGGGATTCTCAATAGGATTAGCAGCTGATTTCTCATCAGAAACTATGGTGGTCAGAATGCAGTGGCATGACATGCAAAAAGCTGAGAGAAAAAAACATCTACCAAGAATTCTACATTCAGCAAAACTATCCTTCAGAAATGAAGGAGAAATCAAGACACTTTCAAATAAGCAAAAAAACTGTGGTAACTCATTGGCAGCAAATCTGCTCTTCAAAAACTACTCAAGGAAGTCCTTCAGGCTAAAATGAAAGGTCAATAGACTATAATTTGAATCCATATGAAGAAATAAAGAAAACTGGTAAAGATACCTAAAAAGTAAATATAAAAGAAAGCACAAATTTCTTTCTGTTTGTAGCTCTTTATCGGATTTGAAAGACAACTTTAGAAAGTAATAATTATAAATCTGTGTTAATGTGTATACAATGTACAAAGATGTAATTTGTATGACCAAGGAAGCACAACAAAACAGGGAGAGACTGGAGCTATATAGGAGCAGAGGTTTGGTATACTATTGAAATTAAGTTCATATTAATCCAAACTAGATTGTTGTAAATTAAGATATTAACTGCAAGCCCCAGGTTGACTACTAATAAAATAACTTTAAAAAATATATTAGTATTAATAATATAATAAATGACAAGAAAATTAAAATGATACACTAGAAGAATTCTACTTAATACCAAAGAAGGCAGTAATGGAGAAATAGGGGAATAAAAAATGACTTAAGACATATAGAAAACAAATAGCAAAATGGCAGACATAAATCCTATCTTATCAGGAATTACATTAAATGTAAATTAATTAAACGCTGATTTAAGGCTTAGTTTGGCATAATGGATTAAAAAAAAAAAAACCTGATCCAACTCTATGCTCTCTATAAGAGGTGCACTTTAGATCCTAGGTTGAAGGTAAAAGGTTGGGAAAAGATATACCATACAAACAAAAACTAAAATAGAACTAGAGTGGTTACACTAATACCAGAAAAAATAAAATTTAAGAAAAAATCCCTTACTAGAGACAAGATTATTTTATAATAATAAAAGGGTTAATCCACTAAGAAAATATAACAATAATACACAAATGTGCACCAAACAACAGGGTCCCAAAATACATGATGCAAAAACTTACAGAAGTGAATGGAAAAATAATATTTGAAGACATCACTTTCCCACTTTCAATAATGGATAGAACAGCCAGACAGAAGATCAATAAAGAAATAGAGGACTTGAACAACACTATAAACCAATTAAACCTGACATGCATATACAAAATATTTCACTCAATAACAGCAGAATAATACATTCTTCTCAAGTGTACATGAGACATTCTCCAGGATGAAGCCTGTGTTAGGCCATAAAAAGAAGTTTCAGTAAATTTAAAAGAATTAAAATGATAAAAAGCATGTTCCCTGGTAGCAATGAAATGATATTAGAAACCAATAATAGACAGAAACATAGACAGAAATTTGGAAAATTTACAAATACATGTGAATTAAGCAACACACACCTAAATAGGACAAAGATCTAACAAGGGACGTTAGAAAATACTTTGAAATAAATGAAAATGAAAACACAATATACCAAGCCTTACTGGATGTAGGTAAGCAGTGCTTAGAGTAAAATTTGTAGGTGTAAATGCTTATATTAAAAGAAAGAAAGATCTTAAATCAATAATCTGACATTCCAACTTACAAAACTAGAAAAATAAGAGCAAAATAGGCCCAAAGAAAGCAGAAGAAAAAAAATAATAACTATTAGAATACAGATAAACAAAATAGAGATAGAAAACAGAGAGATCAATGATTCATAGATCCAACACAATCGCTATAAAATCCCTGCTGCTTTTATTTTGCAGAAATTAACAAGCTTATTTTAAAAGTCATATGAAAATTCACACAGCTAAAATAGCCAATACAATCTTGAAAAAGAAAAAAAAAAGTGAAGGACTCACACTTCCCAATTTCAAAACTTACTACACAGCTACAGAAATCAAGACAGTGTGGTACTGGCCATAAGGTAGACATCTAGATCAATGAAATAAAATTGAGAGTCCAGAAATAAACCCATATATCTATAGTAAATTGATTTTGACTGGGGACCAAGACCACTCAGTGGGGGAAATAATGGTCTTTTTGACAAATGGTTCTGGGGCAACTGGATATCTACATAAAAAAGAATGAAGCCATGTTTTCGTACATGTTTTTAAGATTATTTGGGCATGGCAAGGCCAACAGATCAGAAGATGACTGCCATTGCAAAGACAGTTTGTTATACTCATAGATCCCAAAAGAAGAGGCACACCACACCACGGAAGGCCACACATGGGAGATCCAGGATCAACAAGAGGCAGAGGAAAAGGGAAAATTGTGAACAAGAGCCTTAACTGTAATTTTTGTGAAAGGAATAAGTGAGTCAGGGTAAGCAGATGTAGGATTGGCTACTTTGAATAATTTTAGTGGGCTTTGGAGCATAGGGGAAGTCCCTAGTTGTATGGTACCTGGCCTTAGGCAATTAAGGTAGGTGGATAGTGGCCCAGAGTGTGAGAGCTGGTTAAAGAAGATGGTTGAGGTTAAAAGCTCTGGATTGGGTGATTAGCATTTGAAAGAAATCCTCATGGGCTGGTGGTTTACTATATCTAAGAATTGACTAACTCTAAAAGGGTCAGTTCCTCCAGCATCATCAGGGCCCAAGACACTAAAACATCAGAATATAGAAAATAAAAGACATGGTTAATACAAGGTGGATATCTACTTTACACGGTCTACAAAAATCAACCCAGAATAGAGCAAAGATATGAATGTAAGAGCAAAAACTATAAGACTCTTAGAAGAAAACAGGCATAAATTTTCAGGACCTTGGCTTAGGCAATGGTTTGTTAGGTATCAACAGAACAAACAACCAAAGGGGGGCAAAAAGATAAATTGGACTTCATCAAAATTAAAAACTTTGTGCTTCAGAGACTAGAAACAAGAAGTTAAAAAGTCAACACATTGAATAGTAAAATATTTGCATATCATATATCCAATAGGGAACTTCTATCTAAAATACACAAAGAACTCTTATAATTCAATAATAAAAACATAAATAACCCAATTAAACAGTGGACAAAAAATCTGAATAGATGTTTTTTCCAAAGATTATAAACAAATGGCCAAAAAGCACATGAAAAGATGCTTAACATCATTAGTCATTAGGGAAATGGAAATCAAAACCACAATGGCATATCATTTCATACCTCCTAGGATGGCTAAAATCAAAGAGACAATAACAAGTACTGGCAGGAATATAGTGTCATTGGAACCCTCATACATTGCCACTGGGAATATAAATGGTACAACTCCTTTGGAAAACAATTCCTCAAAAAATTATACATAGAGTTACCATATAACTTAGTGATTTCACTCCTAGGTGTATACCGAAGACAACTAAAAAGAAATGTTCAGACAGAAACTTGTACATGAATGTTCGTAAAATTTTTATAGCAATAATATTTATAATAGCCAAAAAGTTGAAGCAACCCAAATGTGCATTAATTGATGAATGGATAAACAATTACGGTATATCCATACAATGGAATATTATGCAGTCAGAAGAAGCAATGAAGTACTCATTCATGCTATAACATGGATGATCCTTGAAAATATTATTCTAAGTGAAAAAAAGCAGACACACAAGTCCACAACTGTATTATACAAAACATCCAGAATAGGCAAATGCATAGAAACAGGAAGTAGATTAATGGTTGCCAGAGGTGGGAATGGAGAGTAACTACCAATGGGCATGGAGTTTCTTTTTGACGTGATGAAAATATTCTAGAATTATACAGAGGTGCTTGTTACACATCTCTGTGAATACATAAGGGTGATTTTTATGGTATGTGAATTATATCCCAATTTTTAAAAAAGGACAATGGGTTGGTATTAGCTCCCTGTGGTTGCTACTTGGTGGCTTAAAACAACAGAAATTTATTTTCTTAGAGTTCTGGAGTCTATAAGTCAGCAGTTTCATTGGGTAAAAACCAAGTTGTTGGTAGGGTTCACTGTCCCAGAAGGATCTAAGGGAGAAGTTGTTCCTTGACTCTTCCAGCTTCCGGTGGCTGTCAGCATTCCTTGCCTTGTGGCTATTTCACTCGAATCTCTTACTCTGTGGTCACATTGCCTCCTCAGTGTTTCTGTCAAATCTTTCTTTGCCACTCTCTTATAGGGACACTTGTGACTGGATACAGGGCCCACCTGGATGATCCAGGTTAAGCTCTCCATCTAAAGATCTTTAACTTAATCACATCTATAAAGACCTTTCCTTCCTTATAAGGTAACATTTACAAGTTCCAGAGAATAGAATTTAATATATTTGAGTGGCCCATTATTAACCTGTGGGGTTTCATAGGATTGAAAATTACCAATCTACAAGATAGAGTCTCTTTAGCATGACATACAGGAATCCCTATTTTCCTTTGATCTCCCTTTGTAGCTTCATTTATTTCCTCCTCAGATTCTCTGGTCTAGTCACATTGAACATAATGCAATCTTTTGTCATACATCCATGCCCTTGTATATACTGTTCACTCCACTGAATATACTCTTTCCTCTTTGTCACACTTCCAATCTTTCGGGACCTTATTAATCACCTCTCTGTGAGTACTAGGAAGTGATATCTCTATCCTCTTTACTGTGTGCTGCTTCCATTTTGAAACATATCATATGACATTTTATGAATCTGTTTACATTCCTGGTTAATCTACTAGACCATATTTGTCAAATGCAGGGATAACATCATATTAACTTCCTTATGTGTTAAGAACGGGGCTTGACATATAAAATACATGTATCTTGAATGAATGACTTAAGAGTTTATTATTGATGTGCCATTTTAAGTACCCAAGCATCAGGAACAGGCATTTATTAAATTCTACTTATTTAGGACTTTTGCTGCTTATGGGAGGGTCCTTGTTTCTCAATTTTGAGAGTTTTCAATGCCCCTATGTGACCTAGATTTGTTTAGAAGAATACCTTAACTTTTTACAAATACAGATATGTAACTCAAATTCCTTAATGTACTATTCAATATAATTTATTGAATATTATTTCCTAGATATTATAATTTTTAAATAATATTCAGTTCTTCTGTCCTTTAATGAACATTTTAATTTTCCTTCAGAAAACAATAATTCAAATTGTATTGGATGTTGAATTCCAGGAGTTCTCCCAATTTCCCCCCTACTCACCCCTTTTACCATAACCTTATGGTTGCCATTGATTTGTAAGGTAAATTTCACCTTTAGGAAAGACACACTTCAGAGAAATGCACTTCTGATTATTCTGAGAAAAATCAATTGAAAAATCAATGTGACAAAAAAGAAAAATCAACATGCTTTCCATAAACCAGAAGTTATAAATTCTTTCTAAATACAGTAAACATATTCTTAGTAAATTAACCATAATAAATATTGAGACAGGTCTTTATAACATATATGTTGAAATTCGGTCCTAGAAAACATTGGACTAGTTGAACAGAACTCAGTTACTCTTAGCATTCACAGCCTCAGAATGTCAAAATACTAAACACCAGAATAGAGTGTTCTAATTATTTATTGAAAATGAGTTTTTTAGTAAATTAAAAGTTAGTCAGAGACTTTCTTTTTCTGATGGTTCAAGATTTTGCATTGCCCAAGTGTTAGAATTATCATGAGCAATTCTCTTGCAGTTCTACTGTAGGTTAAAAGTTTTATGGCTAAGGACTTGGAAATACCACACAAAATGATGTCTTATATCATCTTTTTGTTGTTGATTTGCTTATTTTTAAAAGATAATGTGGGGCAAAATTCTGGGCAGATACAGTATAGATGTACTTACATTCTACAAAAATAGAACAACTAAGATAGCAAAATCAAAGGCCCGCAGACAACATCTAAAGCAAAATGAGGTGACAGAATGTATGTGCATAAATCATACATGGCTGCTGAATTGGGAGGGTGTTTTGCCTAATCCAACTATGGGTAGTGCACAGTGTCTGTGACTCATTAAGGTCTTATGGTGCTAGATCAATCTGGGCCAGACAAATTCTTAAAAGCATTTAACCAAAGCCCCCTAACAAGACAGGATCCTATTCCACACTATGGAGAAACTCCTGGGAAGAGAATCCAAATTGAATAGGACTGGAGCAATAAGATACAGAAAAGAGAGGGTCTAGTTAAAAATGGGGTAGGAGCAGGGAAAGCACATTTCAAAGAATGAGGATTTTTTTATCATGCCTTTCAAAAGAGGGAGCTCTAGAGTTCTGAATCAAAAAAATTTATTCTTGCCCGCACCTCCCTTCTCACAGTACAGAAACACTTACTCACTGAAACCAACTGAGCAGCAGAATAAAACTGTCCATACAAAGGCATTATAAGACAAAATAGAAAGGGCAGAATAACTTCTCTACAGATGATGAAAGTATGCCAGAGAGACACATATGGGAGTTCCAGAAGAAGAAAATCAGAGCAATGAAACAGAACAAATACTAAACTTGTTTTTTAAAAGAAATATGATCGATATTACACATTGAAAGAGTGTATCATGTCTCTGGAAAAAAAAACCAATAACAGCCATTGCTGAGACATACTCTAACAAAACTAGGAGACTTTAATAGTTTTACAGCTAAAAGTTTCTTTTTTATAATACTAATAAATCGTTGGGGTTTCCAGGCAAAAAGACCAAGTCATTTATAATGAAAAGAAACTCAGATTATTATCAAACTTTTTGACAGCAACATTTTATGCAGAAGACAATGTAGTGTAAGCCAGAGACTTTATATCTAGCCCAAATGATATTTAAGTAAAAAGATGACATTCTATTTTATAGAATGTTCTAGAAAATTCTATCTTATAGAATGTTCCTGAGTTCCTGCACCGTTACTGAGTAATCTCTAAAAGTACAAGCTATAGACAAGCAGTTACGAATGAGATATTGACAAAAGTACTGACAAGTGGGCAATTAGTTAACAAGTGGAATGTTCTTTAGAAACATTCTAGCGAATAAAGTAAAATATATTTTTTGCAATTCCTAATGAATTAACAGACCTCAGCAATAGTTAATAACAGCTTATCTCCTGATAGAATAATACAATACTATAAAGTAGTCTCTCACGGCCCCCAGTGAATCTGATCAAGCCTCTGGACATAACCATCAATTTATAGGAAATACAAGACTCAGATGAATGTTAAGTGACATCATGGGGACGTTTTCAGCCAAATGCAGACCACAGAAACCATACAGGGCAAAAATAATCCCTGGTTTCTTCAACAAAAGATTACAAGGGGAAAAATGAGAAAAAAAACCTGTAGAATAAAAGAGATTTAAGAGACATATCAGTTAATTACTTATATTGCAATTGCATTTCTATTACAAAACCTTATTTTGATCTTGATCAAACATACAAACTTATATATACATGTGCACATATGAAGATCAAAGAAATATGAACATTGGCTGGCTATTTGATGATATTAATTTTGTGATGGTGTACATGGTAAATAGAAATTATTGTTAATATTTGTGCCTGTGATAACTTTTGTTATGGTTTAAAACAAGTACCTTTATCTTGGAGAAATATACACTGAAATATTTACAGATGAAATAATATGATGCCTGAAATTTCCATCAAATAATTTTGGGTCACATTGGGATTATAGATAAAACAAGGTTGACTATATGTTGACAATTGCTGAATCTAGATTCAATATTCTGTAATTTCTATATTTGCACACACTTGAAGATTTATATAATAAGCTTTAAAATAAAAGACAATTTAGTGGGAAGGACCCATTTTAATTAATTAAAGGATTCTTGTAGCTTTTTTTTTTCCTGGCTAACTAAAATACATAAATTTGTCTAGTTTAATACAGGATGGGCTGTGCCTGGGGGCTTCACCTGTAATCCAGGTGCTTTGCAAGGCCGATGCAGGAGGATCACTTGAGCTCAGGAGTTTGAGACCATCCTGGGCAATATAGGGAGACCCTGTCTCTACAAAATAAAACATAAAAAAAAAATTAGTTGTGTGTGGTGGTGCATGGCTATAAGACCCAGTTATTTGGAAGGCTGAGGCAGTAAAATCACTTACGCCAAGGAGTTCAAGGTTACAGTGAGCTATGATCACACCAATGAACTCCAGCCTCGGCAACAGAGCAAGGCCTTGCCTACAGAAAACAAAAAAGGACAAAAAAAATGGAAGTCTAGTTCTATAATCCATACTATTTACTGATAAGATTGTGGAATTTACAACAAAAGCAGTTTTCTGTTAAATTCCTTTAAACTTCTAATTTTCATATCATTCTCATCGGCAATCCTAGCTTGTTAACTTTGTTATTATACATGAGGTATGGTTGAAAGGCTTCAGTGTATTGTAGAAAGTGCATGCAACTGAGAATCAATTGATCTTGGTTTCAATCCTGCCTCTGTTCCCAAGAATCTTTGTGACCTGGGACAAATTGTTTAATCATTCTAAGCCTGTTTCATCATCTGGATAATGAAAGAGTTCTGTAAACTTCTCTACAATTCAGATATTACCACCTCTAAGGTGTTTTTCTTTCCCCCAGACATTTTATTCTGCTGAAAAAGTACTATGGGATTTTCCTAACGTCAAATAGGTAGAAGTTTAAAATGAGGTCTAAACCCCTAAGTCATAGGCCAAGTGACAATAGAATAGTAATGTATCCAGGAGACATAATTTTAAGTTAGAAGATGAGGAAAACATGGCTTAAGTTTGACGGGAAAGCTCTAAATATAAGAATGGATCCTAAACTTATGAGGAAGTAGCAAAATAATGCTACTGTGGAAAAATGAAGCTTGGTAACACAAGATGAATAAAGAACTGCAGCAAAGAGAAACCAGGAGGTTACCCAGACACTTGACTCAGCACTTCCCAAATTCTACCTCGTTTATTCTTAGGTATTAAGTGAAATACAGTGTACTTGGGAATGGCAGGCATGAACCTGTCAAAAAGGTCACAAAATAGGCAAAGCTAAGGCAACTAAGATCACTTGGCCCAGGGAATGCTGAAGTGGAGGGAAACTACAAAAACAATTCTTCAAATTGGCAAATAAATATTCTCCAGATGAAGATAAGCAGCTGTTTTAGTCAGCTGGGTAGTATCTGGGCTTATATTACAGAAGAGAGAATTATAGTTAGGCTTAGGAAAAACTTCCTGGTACCTGGCAGTTGGAAATGTTCCTTCTCTGGGGATCTTTAAGCACAGGGCCGAATACTGCCTTGAGATGATTTTAGTGTAGCCTTCTTGAAGTTGTGAGGATAACCAAATGTTGCATATCTAGTGATTTACATTCAAATCTCATAGATGTGGGTAAAACTAATTGGTTTGGTGCAGATACAATTCTGGCAGATACAATTCGGGCAGATGTAGATCAGACCTCATTTCCTTCTCTGATTATTTCAATTTCCTACTCCCCTGAACTATCATAATTATCAACATCGTTTCTTAGGTCTATCAGCAATTGTTTTATAAATTTGGGAGCTCCAGTGTTAGGTGCATATATGTTTAGGACTGTGATATTTTCCTGTTGGACAAGGCCTTTTACCATTATATAATGTCCATCTTTGTCTCTTTTAACTGCTGTTGCTTTAAAGTTTATTTTGTCTGATATAAGAATAGCTACCCCTGCTTGCTTTTGGTGTCCTTTCGCATGAAATGTCTTTTTCCAACCCTTTACTTAAATTTTTTTGAGTCCTTATGTGTTAGGTGAGTCTCCTGAAGGGTGCAGATGGTTGTTTGGTGAGTTCTTATCCATTCTGCAGTTCTGTATCTTTTAAGTGGAGCATTTAGGCCATTTACATTCAATGTTAGTATTGAAATGTGAGGTACCATTGCATTCATCATGCTCTTTATTGGCTGTGTGCTTTGGGTTTATTTTTATTTTTTGTTCTTGCTTTTTAACTTGTATTTTTGATTTATAGGTCCTGAGTGATTTATACTTTAAAGAGGTTCTGTTTTGATGTATTTCCAGGATTTGTTTTAAGATTTAGAGCTCCTTTTAGCAGTTCTTGTAGTGGTGGCTTGTTAATGGCAAATTATCTCAGCATTTGCTTGTCTGAAAAATACCTCATCTTTCCTTCATATATGATGCTTAGTTTCGCTGGATACAAAATTCTTGGCTGATAATTGTTTTGTTTGAGGAGGCTGAAGATAGGGCCCCAATCCCTTCTAGCTTGTAGGGTTTTTGCTGAGAAATCTGCTGTTAATCTGATAGGTTTTCCTGTAAAGGTTACTTGGTGCTTCTGTCTCATAGCTCTTAAAATTCTTTCCTTTGTCTTAACTTTGGATAACCTAATGACAATGTGCCTAGGCAAAGATATTTTTGCGATTAATTTCCTGGATGTTCTTTGTGCTTCTTGTATTTGGATGTCTAGGTGTCTAGCAAGGCTGGGGAAGTTTTCCTCGATTACCCCCCAAATATGTTTTCTAAGCTTTTAGAATTCTCTTCTTCCTCAGGAACATTGATTATTCTTAGATTTGGTTGTTTAACATAAACCCAGACTTCTCAGAGGCTTTGTTCATATTTTCTTATTCTTTTTTCTTTGTCTTTCTTGGATTGGGATAATTCGAAGACCTTGTCTTTGAGTTCTGAATTTCTTTCTTCTACTTGTTCAATGCTATTGCTGAGACTTTCCAGAGCATTTCACATTTCCAAAAATGTGACCAAAGTTTCCTGATGTGGTGATCAGGGAACACTTCTACACTGCTGGAGGGAATGTAAACTAGTACAGCTGCTATGGAAAACAGTGTGGAGACTCCTTAAAGAACTAAAAGTAGAACTATCATTTGATCCAGCAATCCCACTACTGGGTATCTACCCAGAGGAAAAGAAGTCATTATTCAAAGAAGACACTTGCACACGCATGTTTATAGCAGCACAATTCACAATTGCAAAATCATGAAACCAACCCAAATCCCCATCAATCAACAAGTGGATAAAGAAACTGTGGTATATGATGAAATACTACACAGCCATAAAAAGGAATGAATTAACAGCATCTGCAGTGACCTGGATGAGATTGGAGACTATTATTCTAAGTGAAGTAACTCAGGAATGTAAAACCAAACATCGCGTGTTCTCACTGATATGTGGGAGCTAAGCTATAAGGACGCAAAGGCATAAGAATGATACAATGGACTTTGGGGACTTGGGGGGAAGAATGGGAGGAGGGTGAGGGATAAAAGACTACAAATATGGTGCAGTGTACACTGCTCAGATGATAGGTGCATCAAAATCTCACAAATCACCACTAAAGAACTTACTCATGTAACCAAATACCTCCTGAATCCCAATAACTTATGGAAAAAAATAGTCAACATCAAAAACTTCTCAAACTCCGTGTGCATGTGGAATACGCCAGCCCACTACCAATGAAAAGAACATAATATCTATCCTTTTGAGTATCTAGTCCCTATCCTCATGAAAAAAATGCAACATTTATTGTTTTTGTTGCTAGTTTGGTTAGGTTTGTGATTCATTTTTCTATGGCTATGCTCTCTTAGATTCCTTTATGATGAGAGGGTGAGAAAAAGGTGGTTATATATGGATTGATGTGAGAGGAGAAATTTAATAAATTAAATTAATAAAAAAATTAACAATAGTACAAAGAAAGAGAAGGGAGTGAGAATTAAGGTAACTAATTATCATGAGAAAAAAAGGCAGAGAAAATAGCAGAAATGAAGAAAGGACAACTCTAACTCCTTCGGTAGGTCAAGAAATACTTACTAGTACCAGAAGTAAAAGGGTAAATAAAACAGTCACAGTTCTACCCCTTGTGGTACCTACTGCTGCCCTACTACAGTTGCTGGCCTAACCTAGGGAATCACAATTGTCAGAGCTAAAAACAATAGCTGGTCCCTGCTTTGAAAGTTATTATTAGGGCACTCTGATTTCATTATTAGTATTTGCTCTGTAGCACATGGAAATCTCTTTGTGTGCAAAACATAAATGACACAGGTGACCTGACTTGCAAATTGGGTTAATATATAGCATAAAATGCTTCCATCTAAGGAAATAATTATGAATATAAACTTTGACTCTGCTGTCCTCTCTACTTTTGTGCTGGATTTTTAATGTACTTGTCTTTACCCCCACCTCCCACCCTCATTCCCAGTAGTGTGCTGATGAAAGATGAAAGAAAAAGCAAGTTCTTAAAGAGATAGGGCACATATTATATACATGCAATTATTAAATGTGTTTAAACTGCATATAGTTCTGCACCTCAACTAAGGATGTCTGGAAATTGTCCAAAATATAGTTTAAAAACATAATCATGGCGGCTTTATGTAGAGAAGAATTGTTCAATTGAATGTGAAAGCTTTTATTTCTCCATTTCCTTTTTATTTTCTTCCTTTTTTTGTTTCCTCTATAAGCATTATGCAATGAGATGAAACTTCTCCCTTTCCACATTTTAGACACTGAATAATACTGTTGCTATGGTCTGAATGTTGGTGTTCCTCCAAAATTCATATGTTAGAACCTAATACCAAATATGATAGTAGTAAGAGGTGATGCGTTTTGAGAAGAGCCCTAATGAATAAGTTTAGTGCCCTAATGAAAAGAAGTCAAAAGGAGCTGCCTTGCCCTCACTGCCACATGAGGACACCCCAAGAGAGAACCATCCTGCCTCAGCCTCCTGAAGTACTGAGGTTACAGGTGTAAGCCACTGCACCCGGCCAATAAATTTTTTTTCATAAACTACTCAGTCTAAGGTATCTTGTTACAGAAACCCAAATGAACTATTATCAATTTGGTGTTTTATATAATGCAATTTATTTATTTGGAATTTTTTTTGGCATACTATTTTTTTATAAACTTCTTTGTTTCAAGCATAATTTTTAGTAAATTATATTTCTCTATGAAAAGTTTGATTTGTTTTCATTGGGATTATGTTTTCTTAAATAATATGTTGAGAACAAAATCTTAGTGGAGACCTATTTCTGAAAATGCAATTTAAATAAATGGTAAAATACGATTATTAGCAAATTATATTTCTCTATGAAAAGTTAGATTTGTTTTAATTAGGAAAATGTTTTTAAAAATGATGTGTTGAGAACAAAACCTTAGTGGAGACCCATTTCTGAAAATGTAATTTAAATAACTAGCAAAGTATGATTCACTTTACAAAAAATGTTACTTTATACCAAATTATGTTAAGGAAATTATTTACTGTTTAAAATTTTTTCACACAGATGATGTAGATGAGAACAGGTAAAAATCTATACACAATATCCTTTAGTCATTAGTTGAATGTGCACCAAAGCCACCATTTTCAATCAGAGGGATCACAAATTACTTCTCAGTTTCAGGTATTTTATATGAATATTTTCACAGTAATGCAATGAGAAAGTTAATTTAATTAGCCCTATTTACCATTTGGGATACAAAATTGAGAAAAGAACATGTGCAAGAACACACATCTAAAAGCGTTAAACATGCATTTCTCCACCTTGTGCTATAAGAACAAAGCACATACGCTAATATTAGATGAATCATGATTCTTTCTTACTTCTGCAAGAGCTATCACATATATGAATCATTAATTTCAGTTTCAAATGATTTAAATAGAACTCAGAAAGATTCTGTGAGTCATGAGAGTCTCTAACTTAGTGATTTTACATCTTATCTCCATTTTCCTACAAGAAAACAGTTCTAGATTGCAGTCCATATCCCCCATATTTGAAAATGTATGTTACTTAAGATTTTCAAAGGATTATATAAAATAGTGGAGCCAAATAACTCACTTACTGTGCTCATAAAATGCCAGTCATTAATCTTCTAAACATACATGGTGGTGAGTAAGAAACTTCTGTCCATTAGTTGTTGGAAAAAATTAATGGCAGAGCTGAAATTCATTTCTGATGACTGGCAACTTTTGTTTTAAAATCTTTTTATTTTTCATTTTTTAAGAGAAATTGCCTTTAAGTTTGTCAGCCTAGTAGCTCTGTGTTGCATATAATAAAGAGGAAGCTTTATTTGTTTTAATATTCATTGTTAATATTAAAGGTCAGGAAACTTTTTCTGTAAAGTGTCAGACAGCAAATACTTTAGGCATTGTGGGACATACAGTGTCCCTTGCAACTACTCAGCTCTGACATTAGATCATGAAAGCAGCCACAGACAATGTGTAAATGAATGTGTGGCTGTGTTCAGCAAAACTTTACTTACAAAAGCAAGCAACAGGCTGGATTTGGCCCACTCAGCTGTAGTTGACAACTTTTGATCTATATTAGGACAATAGTCACAAAACAGTAGAGAATATAGGAAACGTTCTATGCCAAGTTTAACAAAGAATAAAAGTTCAAAGACCTTTTAAATAAGTTTTTAAAAATATTCATAGTTTTATTATTCAAATTAATTCAATCAGAGAATTTGAAATTTCGACCATAATTTAATATCAGAGTTAATGATTTTTACCATATAATTGTTTTCCTTATTATACTTTACTTTATTCTTATTTTCATTGTAACTTCAGAAAATAAAACTTGATTTTGGACCATACCAGTATAAAAGCCCCAAAGAGTTAAATTTATAAATTATCAGTATACTCTCTTGACATTTTGTTACTAAGTTCAAACAAGAAATGTGCTGTAACAACTGTGGTGAAATAATAATTTCAGTTCCAGGGAATCACAAAATGAACTTGTCCCCATAAATATATGATGAGTTATTGATTATCCTAACTTTGTTAAAACTCCAACCTTCCCTGGTTTTCATCTCAATGGTATAATGAGTTCTAAACATTTATCAACTGAGTTTGGAACCACAGAGATATTAGTGTAGATCTCATCTTTGTCATCTTGTGAACCTGAGCAAATTACTTAACCCAAGTCAGTGAGTTTCTTCATCCATAAAACTAGGTGCTTGTATCTTCATTCAACACCCCCGCTTACACTGTTGTTATTAAAGAATAAATAAGAAATAAATTCACTAAGAAATAAATTCAGTGGTCAATGCTAAAATATAACAGTTTGAGACTTAACAATACAACATCACTAGCTCTTTCTTGTGTATTGAGGTACTTCAAGGGAATCTTTATAAGAGAGTTAAAGCCATGGAAATGCACATGGACACACATGATTTCAACATCATTCTCCTCTTGGTGCTGTTACATGGCTAGGCTCAGAGTTCCTTCTCAAAGGAGGCTAAATTCTCATGATTCCACAAGACAAGTCTATTTCCTGTAACGGCCTTTGCTATTTCTCATCTCAGCCAACGAGCTCTACAGGAGTTGGTCACTGCACAGTCAATTAGCCAACCCCATGGCTCACATTATTGATTACATGTGAGCATTTGATTACATTGAGATTATGTTTTCTTAAATGATATGTTGAGAACAAAACCTTAGTGGAGACCTATTTCTGAAAATGCAATTTTCAGAATTGCAATTGATTATTGCTCCATGTTCTAGAACTTAAATATGCCCCTATATATTTATTTGCTTTTGAAAAAGTAGAAACTGTTTCCTCAGCGGACCACAGAAAAAAACACATATGTTGTACACATGTTTGTTATTAGGCAGAGTCTAATTCTGTTTCATACTGCCTTCATTATTGATTTTGCAAATCTTCCCCTTTACTCTTGGTTCATTCACTCTCACATTTGGACTGACTTAAGCCCCATCTTCTGTTTTTTTTTTTTCCACTTTTCCAATTCTGTTTTGTATGCCAAAGCACTAACACTCACACTTATGTAATTAGGCCAACAAACATGTATTGAACATACTAGGTTTCAGGCTCTATGAAAAGAACTGGGAGCAAACATACAGTCCCTCATGGAGAACATACCTAAATGGGAAGACAGATAAGCAGAACTAATGGTTAAAACATAATGTATGCATTAGATAATACTGAACCACTTCAGAGTGAGATCTAACTCTGTCTGTTTTGGGAAGAAGTAAGAAGGATATAATGGTGAGCTGAATCCTGAAGAACATACAGAAGTTTTCCAGGCAGAAAAGAGTGTTCCAAGTAGAACATGAGTCACATGCGATGACATGGAGCTGTGTGAGTGCACAGAGCAGTCTGGGAACTAGGATCATTCAACATGGCCATAGTAAAGGGCGAAGGAAGCTTTTGTGGTTAATGTGGGCAGAGATGAGCCTGGGTCACATCAGGTTTAGGAGTTTGAGCCGTTTATCTGACAGGTCACTGGATTCCACTGATGAATTTTAAGAAGGATGGTGATATGATCAGATTTGCATTTTGGAAAGCCCCTAGGTGGAGAGTAGAATGAAGCCATGAGAGATTGAAGGCAGGGGGGTCAGGTGAGAAGGCCGCTGCAATAATTCAGAGAGGAGGGCCTCAAGTTATGGCAGTAGTAGTGCAGATAGAGAAAAGGGGAACCAAAATGGAACTCTTACGTGGATCCTATTATTTTACTATGTGCCAGGTACCAGGCTTTAACTTCATAAAATCCTTAAAAACAACAGTGTAAGCGGGGGTGTTGAATGAAGATACAAGCACCTAGTTTTATGGATGAAGAAACTCACTGACTTGGGTTAAGTAATTTGCTCAGGTTCACAAGATGACAAAGATGAGATCTACACTAATATCTCTGTGGTTCCAAACTCAGTTGATAAATGTTTAGAACTCATTATATCATTGAGATGAAAACCAGGGAAGGTTGGAGTTTTAATAAAGTTAGAACAATCAATAATATCAAGTGCTGCAACAAAAGTTGAAAAAAAAATACCTGAGCAAAGTTCAAAGAATTAGGCAGTCATATATGGCGTCATAGGAAGGTAGTTTCCAAGTAGCCAGGAGGCTCGAGTCAGATGGCATAGGGAAGAGAAATGAATGAGAGGTGAGATGATGTGTAAACCTTAAGACACTTAGCAATAATAAAAATAAAGTGATCCTAAATATTCTGTAGCTTCCCAATTGCTTTCTATAGATTGTGTCTCAAAATAGTGAACTACTCAAAGTAAAGGGTAGTTACCCCTGCCTAGAATAATATCTGGCAAATAGCAGATGCTCCCTAAATATTTGTTGAGTGAATAAACTTTCATCCTTAGCACTGATTCAGAAAAGAAACTAGAAATACTTAAAGCATATGTTTTGGACACAGATCTGTTGATGATGTCCAGCCCCAAAGGAAAAGTATCCATTCACTACTGTGTTTAAGGAATCTCTTATGCTCCCTTAAAAGTGGGAGAGAATGTCAGTAACAGGAAAATATGAAGTCAGATTAACTGTCTGAGGTCATATAATGCATCGAGGTGGAGGGTTGAGACAAAGGTTTCCTGGTTCCCACTCAAAAGCTTCCAGATACCTTGCTCCCATATCCTTCTGCTCTAGTAGTAAATGTCTTTCTTTCTTTGATCTTTTCTTATGCTCTGCTCTTCACTAATCTTGATCTTATGTCCCAGCTCTGTTAATAGCTTTTGATGGCCTGAAGCTTCTTTCATTTATCACATGTGCAAATTGGAACTTAATTCCCAACATTACCTGACATGCATCCATTCACTTATTCTACAAATATTAAGTGCCTTTGTGCTAACAACATTGCTTCTGGCACTGTGAAAATAGCAAAGGACAGCGTGTTTCCCTCTCTCATAAAGCTAAGTCTACTTTTAAGGATTTCTCACCTACTTGGTATTATACCTACTGGATTTTACATCAACTGGATCTTACGTCATCCCTGCTTTGTGTTTGTGGTCTTCCTCCAGGCAGCTGACCAAATGCTCGCTGTTCTATTTGTAGCTAGGTCCAAACTATTAAGCATCACTGAGGTGAAATGATGGGGGTTGTATTTTCCACTTAATTTTAAAGGCCTCTTCCTTCCTCTTTCAGATAACTCTTTTCAGATATCTTCAGTGGTTCTTTGGTTGACAGATAGGATTTGTTTTCATTGTCTCCAATCCTTCTGCTCAGAAATGTTTCAATTTATGAGTGGATCTGCCCTATTTTATTCTCTATTACTTTTGAGGGCAGTGAAGAAGTTTTCCTATGTCAATACTTCCTACTCATCATTTGAGTATAATAGGTAAACTACTGAGAACCTGGACCTTATTTTGTTCCTCTAATTTTATCTTTTGTACCAAAAATAAACAGCCTTCACAATCACATCTGTACCAAAATTAAATACATGGGAAACACTTTCTATCTGAAGGTATTAATATAAATATCATGTCATTTTCTTATTTAGGTTGTTTCTAGTATACATACTTTCCATTTTAAAGACATTTTAGGAAGTTTTTGTTTGTTTATTTTTTGACACCTCTTCACCATGAAGCAAATATTCTGAATCTATGTGGTCTTCTGTTAACTTGTCTTTAGAGATTGTATCATTACCATTGCAAGAGTATAATAAAAACAGGCTTTCTGTGAGCATACGAAAAAAAGTGGTAAAAAAAAAAAGTCCTAGAGTTGACAAAACATGAGAGATTAGGAAATTTGAATGGCTTCATTTTAGGAATGAGGAAACCAGGTTGGAAGGATGAGGCTGTTATTTAAAGACTGGTGTTAGGGTATAGTTTCCATTTCTTTTCTTTACAACTGCTCACATGATGGGATCTTATTGCAGTATTTCTATGTGTGTGTATATATAACTCTTATCAGATTCTTGAAGAAGATTAAAAACTACCATTTGAGACTATTGATTTTAGAGTTCAGCTTGGACTATGATGCCCTCTTATGTGAAATCTGAAAATACATTTATGGATTTTGCTCACTGTGTGCATGGAAAAATTGCAAAAGCAGAAAGGCCCTTTTGAAGTTAACAATCAAATGTGGCCACTGGCAACCTTTTGGAGCTTTTTGACTCTTATTTGAATAATATATAAGATGGGAGTTGGAAGTATTGTTAGTATTGAGAAAATTTTCTTGCTCCAGAAATGGTCCGTTCTATCAACCTGCCCATTAGGGATTCATTTAGTTAACCAAAATTGTTTTTTAAATTGATTATAATTTGTTCACCAGATTGATTCTGTGCCTCTCACATCTACTGCAATGAATAAATAGAAGTTTGGTCTTGGCCAGGGAGGAATTCTTTTGAGAGGAGCATTCAGGAAGTCAGCCTGTGGGTATCTAGAGCTCTGAGAAAGATGGGTAGAGAGAAGACTGAAAAGGTGCCCCAAAACTCTGGGTTTTGATGCTGCCTTCAACCAAAATACTGCTTATATTGAAAGAAAGCGCACAGATACTGTATGTGTGAGCTCTTAGCAGACAATGCTCCTGGCATGTAGGATGGTCTTGCTTTGAACAAAGATACTCCAGGGTGTTGGAAAGGTAAAAGATTCACTGAGGATCAGGGTAAACATTCCTGAGCATATGGGCAAATGAACCTGAGAAAGGGTTTTGTGGAATGCTAAAATATTTATTTCTCCTTGCCTATAAACAATGTCAGCTCCTAACCTCTCCCCAAATAAACAATTGATGTTGGGAATAACTGGAGCTCATTAAGAAGGTTAGGAAAGGTATATGGCATTTGAAAGAACTGGCATTCAAGAGTGCATTGAGGTTGTGTTTACTTCAAAAGACAGATTATTAATTTTGACTGAATTGGCTAGACTGATGATTTCTTATCCAAAACAAAATCTCAACCATCCTATTTATTAGACTGGTGCTTTTTTAAATGACTTTTTTCCCCCCTCAACAAACTGGTCAATATAGTGAATATAGTGACACTGGTTTGTGTATCTATAGAAAAACTAAAAAAATAAAAGTTAACTTCATTATCATTTATTGGTTATGTGATTGAGCAAATTACTTGATCTCTTTAGGCCTAAGTTTTGCCATTTGTAAAATGGTGCTAATAATAGTCCCGTCTCATTGGGTTGCTGTTAGGATGAAATGAGATATGCATGTATGCTTCTTAGAATAGTATTTGGCACACAGTAAGTACTCAGTCAGTGTTAGCCATCACACTGTAAAGCCTGTCTGTTCTTGCTCCCAGACTAGAGTGCTCACACAGCACTCTAGTGCCATGCACAGATGGGTTAACCTGAAAGTTAAGATCAGGTGGTGGAGGAGAAGATATTAAGGTTTTCTAGCAGTCTTGTTTTCTCCTCCCTGTGACTGATCTGACTTCTGAACTCTTCTGTGGGTCTGATCTGTGGGCTCCTCCTTCCTTGCCCTCCTTCCACTTTCAGTGTTCTGATGGCAGTTAGCATGACAAAGCCTATTTCTGACCTTCATGACCCCTACTTCCATTCTTGTTTCTGTCCTAATGAGTAGGGCACATTAAAAAACTCCTACTCTCCTTTGCTTGGAGAATACTATACAATGAATTCTAGGTAGGTGAAGTTTTCAAAATTATTCAGTTGCTACCTGATAACCTGACCTTATTTTTTCTCTTTGTTCTATGAAAAAAATATATCTGAATTATATATATATATATAATTTTTATTTTATTTTATTTTTATTTATTTATTTTAGATGGAGTTTCGCTCTTGTTGCCCAGGCTGGAGTGCAATGGCGTGATCTTGGCTCACCGCAACCTCTGCCTCCTGGGTTCAAGCGATTCTCCTGCCTTAGCCTCCTGAGTAGCTGGGATTACAGGCATGTGCCAACACGCCCGGCTAATTTCGTATTTTTAGTAGAGATGGGTTTTCTCCATGTTGGTCAGGCTAGTCTCAAATTCCAGACCTCAGGTGATCCTCCCACCTTGGCCTCCCAAAGTGCTGGGATTACAGGAGTGAGCCACTGCGCCCAGCCCTGAATTATATTAATTGGCAAAGTCTATTAGATTTCTTTTGAGGACTTTCATTATTTTATTTTTATATGTGTTTCTTTCTTCAAATGTTTTACAATAAGCATATGCCATTTTTGTACTTGAAAAACCCCACATATGCAAATATAATCATATTACTCCTCTGCTTAAAATTCAATTTGTCCTATGTGTCCTAGCTCCCATCCTATTGAAAACTGGATTAAAAAGGATGTGGCAATTTTACAAATATCCTATTGTCTTTTTATGGCAATGCAGTTGCTGAATGACTGACTGAATTCTTGGAAACCCAGGAAACAGAATATTGGGGCCCCAAGATGATCTCTTCCCACTTAACATCTGGAGCTTAATTAAGGGCAAAGATCAAATCTTAAAAAAGTTTATGTTTATTGTTTATAAACCAGATTCTTGTCCTATGTCTCTCTATGAGAATTTCCGCAAGGAAAGTTTCTGAATTCTTTCACAGATTTCCCTGTGGGAATTCTCAGAGAGTTATATAGGATGAGAATCTGGCCTTCCTAGACTTTATGATATGTTTGGAAAGGGGAGTGGGAGCCCAGCTAAGTTATTTTTATTTTCTGCAGTATTCTTCTGGGAGAAGTTGTAATTTTTGAATCAAGATTTTATATGTTTTGAAATTTCCAAAGCCTTTTGAACAGCAGGGTCTAAACACTATTGTATTGTTTAGTAGCCTCAAACTTGGATTTGTACTTGTGGTTTGAGAAGATATTTCACAAATTTTTTAAATTTGGTGTTTCCTTTTATATGCTTCCTACAGTTAGAAAACCTTGGTATAAAATGCCATATTTATGTTGGAATTTGGATTTAAAAGCCTTTGATTAATAAAGTGGTTCTTTTTAAAACAGCAAGAGTCCACATTTATGGAGAATTTTTATCAGTAAAACTTTACATAAAACAGCTGTAAACAGTCTACTACGTTAATTTGACAGGCAAATTAAAAAATGGTATAACAGTGTGAAAGATAATACAGCATGTTTCCCAAAAAGGTCAAAGTGCCAACAGAGCTGAATAAAATGGTACTCTTGTTCCTTGAGGCCACTCAAAGGCCAGCTCCTGAAATATGAGCCATAGCCCTTTAAATATCTGTGTTATTATGACAATGCCAAGGACTTTAGCCATAACTTCCACATCTAGCCTAGAGGATGGGAACAAAGAAAGTGCATTAAAAATGTTCTTCAAGCTTAGGACATCAGCAAGTTATTTTCTTTGGAATCTTTACCGTTTTGGCTTTTTGTTGTTCATGTGTCACAACTTTATGCACTATAGAAGCCTTCTCTTTAAGATGCAGATACGAATACTGTTTTAAGTGATCATGTTGACATTCCTGCCTCACTCTATGTTGTATAATTACTCACTTTCCCTTTTGGAGTTAGTGATCTGAAACTGATTTCTATTGACTTTTAAAATACATAAAAATATTCACATAAAATGAAGCCAAGTTTTAGTAAGAATGTCCAGAATGGAAAGTTCAGGATGGAAAAAGTGAGCTTTTGTCTTTTTTTTTTTTTTTTTAAATTCCTAGGTGGAGATGTAGGAAGAAACAGCCACATTTTTGCCTCATCGAAGCTAAAGATTCAACAGAATTTTTTTACTGCATGCCTATATGTGCTAAATGCTTTCCCATGTTATCTTGTTTGTTTCTTGCAATAAATTAGTTATCCTGGTAAGTAAGGATAACTAACTTGGAGTTAAAGTTCAGGAAATAAAAGCTCAGAGGTAAAATGACTTTTCCTCAGTCACTCAGATGTATGTGGCCCATTTGAAACTTGGATCTAACCTTGACTCCTAACACTGGGCTCTGCTCACTATAATACAACATAAAACTTGAAGACAGTATATTAGTTAGTTTAGAAAAGATGCATTGTTAATCCATCACATTGTGCTATACCTGTGAATACTTCTTTCATTATGATGTTATTGAAAATAGCAGTGTTTCCTCAACTTTAGCCATCCAAAATGGCTGTTTGTTTCATCAAAGCCTTACAAAATCTGATGTTAAAAATATCCTGAAGAAATAGCTAAAAAGGCTCTCATTTGAGATAAGAATCAAACATACAATTTCTTTCTTCTGTCTCTATTAGCAGAGTTCTCATGGAATTGCACAAGTGGTTCAAGCAGTCAGGATAAGTTGGTTACACCTCTCCATCTACTAAAACTTAACCACATCTCGGGGTATGTGTGTATACAATGGAGTATATACTACAAATGGTGTTTAAGTTCCTGGGATAAAGAAGTCTTTACAAATGGTATGGAGAACCTAGGAGTTTTCTATTACAGCAGATAACCTGTTGGTTCCAGGGAAAGAGAGTCCTTTCTGTAAAGGACTGTATATACTACAGATACCCCTAAAAAGCAATTTTCTTAATGACTTTGCTCTGAGAGCCTGGCCTACTTTCTCCTGTTCTCTCTTGCTGAGCCCTGAAAGGTGAGCCCCAATTTGCGCAGAGTTGCTTAACCACTCCACTGGCCAACCTTAGGGTTAGGGAGGCCTAGATTCCTTAGGATTCCCTTTAAATCTGACCTCAGATTGTTTGCTAAAGCCTATTGCAGGGTTCATATGGTGCAAAGTGGGGCATTAGCAGCCCCCTCCCACCCACAGACATACTATCTAAGTGCAAATGGTGTCCTTGCTGTGCAAATGGTATTTAAAGGAAGTCTCCTAGCTCTTCCTTCCAAGAAAGCTGATGCTTCTGAAACCTCTAAACCCAGAACTAACTCTAGCCAAAAGGAATCTAGAAACATAATGCAAGAATTCTGTCTTAGAGATCATTCATATGGCCACTGCCAGAAGACTAGTCTATCAGGGGCCACTCTCCCAGGATCTGAGTACTCCTCTGTCCATCAGGAACTCTGACTTCACCATGGAGAACAAGAGGTGAGGAGAGTCGAGGAAAACAAGACTGATTCAATGTTTTCTTTTTTTTCCAAGTCACGATCTTTATTTTTCAGGTTTAATTCCTGTTTCTTTTTATTCTTTTGCATTTTTAAAGATGTAACAATCAGAAGGAAAAAACTATTAAACTATTCAGTTGCCTTTTGAAAAAAAATTTGATTTCTTCATTTACAAATTTTGAAGAGTGCTTTCTTCCTCATGATTCCTTTCTGCTGCATAAAGACACTTAATAAAAAAGGCACTGGCTGGGGGCGGTGGCTCACGCCTGTAATACCGGCACTTTGAGAGGCCGAGGCGGGCGGATCACCTGAGGTCAGGAGTTTGAGACCAGCTTGGCCAGCATGGTGAAACCCTGTCTCTACTAAAAAAAAGTACAAAAAATTAGCCATGCATGGTGGTACATGGCTGTAATCCCAGCTACTCTGGAGGCTGAGGCAGGTGAATCGCTTGAACCTGGGAGGTGGAGGTTGTGATGAGCTGAGGTCATGCCCTTGCACTCCAGCCTGGGCAACAAGTGTGAAACTCCATCTCAAAATAAATAAATAAATAAATAAATAAATAAATAAATAAATAAATAAATGAATGAATAAATAAATAAATAAAATAATAAGAGCATTGGATTTAGAGTCAGAAGGTCCAATCTTGGCTCTACCTAGATATGTAGTTCATGTCTATTAAGATCCTGGAGGAGGGCTAGTATATAATAGGCGTGCAATTTATAGAGCCAATATTTTTATTATTATACATAATATCATGTAAAGACTAGATCTTTCTTTTTGGTCACCAGAGTGCCATATAAACTGTTAAGACGTACAGTCCATTAAATATAAAGCTGGCTGATGCTAACTGATTTTTCAATACAGCTATCTTAGTTTTCTAGGTCTATTGTACAAATTATCACAAATTTGATGGCCTAAAACAATATAAATTTATTCTTACACAGTTTTGGAAGCCAGAAGTCCAAACTCAAGGTGTTGTAGGGTCATACTCCTTACAGAGGCTCTAGTGGCAAATCTGTTCCATAGCTCTTCTAGTTTCAGATGGTTGCTGGCTTCTTTACTTGCAGCTATGTCACTCAAGTCTCTGCCTCTTTTATCACATTGCCTTCTTCTCTGCGTATCTCTTAGGAGGACATTTATTGTATATAGAGCCCACCTGGATAATCCAGAATGACCCTCATCTCAGGAGCCATAACTTAATTACATCTGCTAAGACAATTTTTCCAAATAAGATAACATTTACAGATTCCAAAGGTCATAATGTGAACATACGTGGGGAGGAAGCATCCTTCAATTTACTACAATAGCAGTTTGAGTTTAGGCGCTAATGCTATGTTTGAATTATAAGGGTGTGTCTGGCTTTGGTTATGTTTTAGAAAGTTACTTGTGCCTGAGCACATCACCTGAATGCCTGGCTACTCTTAATCAGATCAAGTCTATACCTATAACCCTAAAATAGAGAGGGCCCAAAGGGCCCCTTCTTGGGAAGTCTCAGGCAAGCCCTTGCATGTGGTCCAAAATGTTTCTGAGGCATATGCTGAGACCACTGAGGAACGTCCCACCCCTGTTTCATGGGATAAGAAAAGTATCAGTTCCTTGGGAGATGAGAGGCTGCAGGAACAAGCCTATCACTCTCTGCCAGCAAAGTAACAGCTTGGAGAGGTAACCAAACCCTTAACTCCCCCTTTCTGCCAAGGGTCCTCCCTTTTCTTCATTACTTGGTTTCAGGTGAACAGGAAGCGTTATTAATATTGTTGATGATATTTTACCCATAGCCTATGATTCTGTGTGCCCTGTCCTTTCTGTGTAAAGCCCTACTCATAGAATAAAAAGAAGCTTCTCTTTATTCACCTCTGAAAGAAAAATATGTAGCGTTTAATCAGACTAGCAAACGCTAACAATTAAGGATCCAACATATTGCTGTTTACCCAAGCTTTAAAAGCTAATCATCTGTGACACGGCCTTGTCCCTCATGCAGTCACTCTGTAGGCAGTTCTAATATCTTCAAAAAGCTTCTCATATGTGTTCATTTCACTGCCATCTCCCTGGTGTGTGCTGTCTACAAGTCTGGACTTGTGAAGTGGTCTTCTAATTAGATCACCTGCCTCTAATCACTCTCCTTTCTAATCCATATTGTATCTTATTATTGAATTAATCTTCCAAAAATACTCCTCCTTTGCCCCATTACATGTATGATCAGTGAAAAACCTCCGATGGCTGTCTTATTGGCTACAGAAGGAAATACCAATTTTATATCATGGCATTTAAGGTTCCATATAACCTAGATATAACCTGTTGCTCCAGCCAGTCTGATCCACTGTCCCAATTACGTTTCCTCTGACCTTTGCTGCTGGTCATTCTTCCACCTAGAACATTCTTTATCTTTGACTCCTCCTCCTCCTCTCTTAAGAAGCTCCCCGCAAAAGCCCCACACATCGCTTTCCTCTTTACTGCTCATTATACAAGATCACACCATATTGTGATTCATCTTTGATGTACATGTCTTGTCTTATCTGTACTTGGTTTCTCAAGGGCAAGGTTGTGTTGGTTTTTTAAGAATAGCTTTCTACACTCAACACTTCTACTGTCCTAGCTAACTCTTGAGAAGGATAAAGCTTCTGGAGGGAGAAGCTCTATCTTTATTTCATTAACTTCTGCTCTGTTTAAAACAGTTACTTAAACATTAAATGATAGCTCCAAATACTAAAGGTAGCCGTCCTATCGGAAGAATGAAAATGCACTATTCCCTTATATCTTACCTTGTTTTCTGCTAACACTGCCTTATTCAGTGCACTTATGCTTTAAAAACCATTTTATATGGAAGGATGGGGGATACGAATTCGAAGCCTGAAAGAAAAAAGGAGCTTCCCAAGTTATATATAACACTTTATATTTCAAAACCAATCTATACCTTATAGCAAATCACTAAAAATATTTCAGTATTTCCTTGAAGGAATTAGAAATGGAATTTTGTGATGGCCTGGATTTATTTCCTTTAATGAAACAGGGTATGCTGCTTCCTTATACTTTCTTTCGGGTAACTGGAAATTTTGAGGTTTAACAAATTGAGTTTCATTAGGGTCTTCTGTTTACTAATTGTGGCTAAACCTCAGAACCTTTGGTTCAAAAGTGTTGCTATTTCGTGATTTGGCCCTCCTCAAGTGACAAGTTTGATAGAAATCCCATAAAAGATAAGATTAAGAAAAAGAACAATGGAAGAAATTATTTTCTTTCTGTGTTGTTGCCATTATATAGTTATTGCCATTTTTCCAATTAGATGGCCCTTTTTTTTTTTTGACACAAGGTCTCATTCTGTCATCCATGGTGGAATGCAGAGGCATGAGGCATGATTGTTGTTTATTGCAGCCTCAAACTTCTGGACTCAAGCAATCCTCCCGCCTCAGCCTCCTGAGTAGCTAGGACTACCACCACGTCCATCTGGTTTTTAATTTTTTTAAAGAACGGTCTTCTATGTTGCCCAGGTTGTCTCAAACTCTTGGCCTCAAGTGATCCACCCACCTCACCCTCTCAAAGTGTTGGGATTATAGGTGTGAGCCACGGTGCCTGGCCTAGTAGGCTTTTATAAAGAAAACACTTTTCGAAATGCAACAAACAATAGTTATAAATCCAAAAATCACTGAATACTAGTTCTGTTTTAAGGTAAGGCATTCTATTCTCTTCATGCTTCCAAACCATCCTACATGAAATCTAATTTCTATTTTCCCTAGTGGTACTGTTAATGACCCTGACTTGTAAAGAATGGCATGATTAGGCTTGCTTTGCGTTTGCATATATGCTACACGTATGCTGACATACAACCTGTCAGCATTTTCCATATCTCTTATATCATTAGAACAGGTTCTGTTCATTTGGACCCAGAAGTTTTATTAATAGACACTGTTGTATAGCCAGTGCTTTTAACACTTCTTTAGAAACTAATTTCATGGAAGTGGACAAAGATTAACTTTGTTAAGATTAATTACTCAGTATTCACCACATCTGAAGGAATATTGACCAAGAGATTTGCTTTACTGAACAAGGAGTGTGGTGCTGAGTTTATGGGTTTAAGAATCTCCTGAAATTAGCACAATTTATACTTGCAATAGATTTGTCAGATGCAATCTCAGATTTCAAACTGAGGCTTTTATGTAAATGCTTACAAAGCCTACTTATTGGATTTATAAAAAGCTGACTATATTGGCAATCTTGCTATTTATCTGTTAAACCTTGTTTGTTGGTTGATCTGCTTTCAATAAATAGGACTATGCATTGGTACTCCAAATTCTCCTCAATTCCTTGTGTCCTCACACTGTGTTAATTCTTATTGCAGTGCTATCTACAGCAGGTATGGACCCTTCCCCTGGAAATACTCTCAGCAATCCACTACAGAATGTTGTGGGGTCAAGAGCACAGCTTGGTGCAGTGTTGAAGAGCTCTTGAGCCAGGCATCTGGGCTTTGAATCTGGCTTGGTCACTCACTGTGTGACCTAGGGACAAGTGTCCCTCTCATGTCTTGTTTTTCTTATCTCTCATGTAAAGTCTTGTCTCACCACCTCATTTCCACCCCCTGCCCTCCCTTACCCTGTTATATTTCCCTTCATGGCTTTGATTACCACATGGCATGATGTGTGTTTGTCTACTTTGTTAACTCTCTGAATCCCTCCATCGGAACTGAAGGTCCATGAATGCTGAAGCTTTGCTTGTTCCACCAACATGCATAATAGTGCCTGGCACATACCAGGTGCATCTATATAAGTTGACAGAGGGATGAATAAATGAGTGAATGGAAAATGGAGATAGCGGCTGAATGTGCAAAATATCAGTTCTTTTTGACACTCTGGAAGACTGGATGAAGCAAGGAAAAACTGGAAGTTCAACACTGGATAAAGGAAATAATCCAGGAATGGTAAGAAAAGGTGTTTGATAACTAGAGGAGAGGAATAGGTGGCTTGAATGTAGTTTCATAAAAATGCATGGACTATGCATCTGTCAGATGCAGACCACAAGAAAAGCAGCATGCAAACTGAGCTGAAGTAGAGGTTACCTAAAAGAGATGGCTCTATGCCCAGCTGATGACTTGAGGCAGCCCACACCAATCATAAAGTGTTCTATCACATCTAAAAACAAATGGGACTTGATTCTCCTTTATGGATATACAATCAAAGGCAAATGTCAATAGGGTAACGAGTAAAAGAAGCTGCTAATCTAGCCTCCATATAATGCTGACACATTACTCAGATGATAGTAAATACACGATGACTAGATATAAAAATTTTTAACGCGTGAATGCAGAGTAAGGAAAATGCATAGGACCCGAGCTGTTGAGCACTGGGGCAGAGGAAGTGTTCAGTATAAAAGACAACCTTGGTCCTTGGCACAAGATCTTTGTGCTGCTCTGAGATTTGGAGCAACGTTTGGTCATGCTTTTTTCTTCATCTACATTTTTAAAAGACTCATTCACTAGAATATAAAATATGTAACAAGAACTTACATGACCTTCCAGCATCCTGCTCGTTTTTCACACTGCTTTGGATTTGGTAGCTCCATGTATTAAGATAATCAGGATGCTCAAATATATTGCCACACACCGTAAAACTGGGTGATATCCATGCCACAGCCATTGGCAGCATGTTACTGAAAGTTTTGAAGGGGAGGAAGGGAACTGTGCATATAATATTTCACCCCCATCTATTCTTTCCCCACGCTTCATCAGAACAGATGGCAGAGATGCATTAGTTGTCTCGTTTTGTTTTGAAATGTTTCATTGTAAAATAAACAATTCTTCAGTAGAGTTTTTGTTAGTACATAAAACTAGACTTAGAGTAAAGTTAAATGCCTTTTCCCCACTACCCCTGCCCCAAAGCATAAATAAAACAAAAATTAAAAGATGCATCAAACCAAATACAAATAAAGCAAAAAGTCAAAAGGAGCTAATAAAGTTGAAACTGCTGGCAACTTCTGTCTTTGTCCTAATGTGTTTCTGTACAATGAATCTTCCTATTTACCCACAAATTAATGTTTTCATTATGCTGCATTTAGTTTTATATTGCCTGGCAGTATGTCTAAGGTGGCTTTGAGTAAGCCACCTCATTAACAATGATTTATTGGGTATTCCACCTAGTATGAGGTACAGAAGTATAAGACATGATCATTGCTCTCAAGGAATTTAAAATCTGTTTAAGTATTTTTCTTAAAAATGATAGCTAAAAATACAAAACTGTATGTGTTAAGTGACAGCTAATTGGTTTAGACATCAGCTGCTATAGAAGGTTAGAAAAAGGTGAAATGACTTACACTTAGGGTAGAGAAAAAAACGTTGATGTGAGGTGTGAGCTAAAGATTCAGATAAGTAGAAAAAGACATTCCAAAAAGAATGGTAAGAGTAGGGCACAGATACAGGAAAACACAAAGTGTGTTTGGAGTAGGGGGTCAATGAACTGTGGCAGGAATGATAAAATTAGGGAGGGAGAAAGACCTAGAATAGAATGCACAAGTGTCCCTGAAAATTTTAAAGTTCCAGAATTATCCCAAAACTAACTTGGAAGTTTACTCTGTTGCTGGACAGAGGGCTAGAATAGTATACTTTCAATATGACTTCATTCATTCATTTAGTTTGTTATATGGCAGTTTAGCGGTATGTGTATTAGGTGCTGTAGACACAATGAAATTAGAATATGGCTCTTTGTACTCAAGAAGATCACAGTCTAATGTGGAACACAGAGAAGTACACAAGAATTAAAACCCATACTGAAGGTCATACCATGTCAAACTTGGGGCACATTTGGCAGTTCACCAAAATCCTGTTCCAATGAAGTAGGCTCATGTGAATAGTGGGAAACACAGAATAGAGGCCAAGGAGGGAGTCATCATCATTTATGTCTTCAATATTGTAACATAGGACATTTGTACTGACAACTTATGAGGGCTGTAAGTTATATATAGAAAACATTCCCCCCAATTCCCCCTTTTTTTACTGTTGGGAAAAAGAAAAGGAGGAGATACAGGGAAAAAAAATTCACAAGAGGAAGTCAGGCCCCCTTAATAAGCAAATGTTTTTAGAAGAGAAAAAAGATGAAGAAATTTTGTTATTTCTAATTGCTAGCATTTAATCATAGCTATCACTCACAGATCACATACTACTTGCCTGGCACTGTTCTAGATGCTTTGCATGTATTAACTCAGTTACCACAACAACCCCATGAGACAGGTACTATTATTATCCCCTTCCATACATACCTTCTTAGAGATGGCCAAGGCACCAAAGACAGTAAGGAGGAGGAGCCAGGGTTCAAGTTCAGCCCTGTTCTTAACCAGCACATAACACAGCTTTCTCATAAGTGTGAAGATCCTAGGGGGTAACAGTAGTACATGGGGAGGGGAAGCCCTCAGAAAGATGTCAGATAAAGATCAGTTAAACCTAAGAAAAGCTAAAATGGGTGGAGTAAATTGATGGGAAGAGCCTACATTATTTTACTTTGTAATGGTGGTTAGAATTACATAAACAGGAAATGGTTTCCTTTTAGTAACTAATAAAAACAGTATCTAATATTGATTAAGCATCTATATGTGTCTGGTACTCCCCACAGGTACCATTATTACCACCATTTTGCAAAAAGAAAATTGGAGATTCGTGGTTAAATAGAAAGAGGTTTGTTTAATCTTTATCACAATTCACACAGTTAGCAAGGACTAGTGCGTCTAATCTTTACTACCACACTATACTCATTATCCCTACAATTACCTTATGGTTATCAGCCTTGTGGATTCTACTGATCTGTTAGAATGCCAAAAGTCCTACTGTGCTGGAGTGGAATCAGGGTATGGCATTGAGGGGTAAGTCTATATTTCTTTGACAGGGTGGCTGGCTCTTTATGGCATTTCAGAACAAGAAGAATTATTTGAGATTTTGGATAATCCATGTCTCTGCCTCCATCCAAGGGTGGACAATTGTTGATCTCTTTCCAATATCTAATATTTGCATATTAACTGCTCTTTCTCTTAAAGTAAGATATTTCACCTACCTGACACATTTCAACTTGTAAACTCCAGATGCAGGCATGAAAATCATATCTCTTTTCAAGTTCAAAGAACAGAAAACCATAATCAACTATAGTACAGGAATTGGAGATTGCATTATTCCTGTTGAATTCTGGTGGCCAAATAAAAATCTACTTACTATTTGATACAAATAAAGGAAAATGTATCAACAACTCCATAGAACAGAGAGAAATCAGTCATATTCTTAAAGTCATTAAAGGGAAAAGATACAAATGATGTTGATTGGATATCTTCCATATGCTGTGCATTTGACATACTTTATAGTAACTCATGTTGTTCTCAGAATGATCCATGGCTTATGATCTCACTTCATATAGGAAGCAACTGAACTACAGCATGGTTAAGTAAGTTCCTCCCAGTCAAAAAGCTGAGTAGCAGAGACAGCTTAGATATGCTTACGTTTTCTTTGTACTATGTTGCCTTTACTAGGAGACAGTAGAGTGGAAATCAACTCTCTGTTTCTGTCAGAATTGTTATGAAGACTGGACATACCTTGAACAATAAAAAAAAAGACTAGAGGTTTAAAGGCAGAAATAATGCAAAGCAAAAGGGCAAAGACTGTTGTTAACATTGGACAAAAGATCTGTATGTTAGCATTTAAAAGAATTTTATTTCTGATCATAATTTCCCGAATCTCTCGCTCCATTTCCATTTCTCATGAAGATGTGCAAGTGTAACACTGAATTTATTTTCCAAGGAAAAGAGCTAGGACTATTACTAATAAGAAAACACACTTTTGCATTTCTGTAGTTTTATAAAGTGTCCCCCACCTCCTTCCAAATGTTAAATGCTTGACTATAATGTGAAAGGTTCACTTTTATTCATTTACCTTTCTCAAATTTGTCTTTTGCAAGAAATGTGCTGGTCTAAATTTGATTCTGTTAACGACACTCTACTTAGGCTTTAAATGGCTTAACTGTGTCTAAGAGCACAACCGAAGACTAATCTGACTGAGACTGATAAGACTGTCCATGTGGTTTTGACCCTTGGAGAGGATAGTGGGAGGATATTATCCTTTCTACTTTGTGCTGTTCTCAGAGGACAGTCACAAATGTGTAAACAAATGTGAAAGAGAAATAAAGGGGACAGCCAGATTGCCAGAGATCCATTACTTTACCCCTGGGGTATGTGGCTATTATAGAACTGGGGCAAATGCCAAGAGCACTGAATTCAAAGGGACACTCCCTGAAGTGATTCATCTATTTAGACAACATCAGAGGAATATCAGATCAGATCCTACTGTGTGAAGAGGTTACACCATGGGCATTTGGTAGTCACTTTGGGAATTATATTAATTTACAGCAGCCTGAGTACACAGTGCCAATGTGTCATTAAAGGTGAAGGCAGAATCTATTTCTATTCAAGATGGAAAGGGCAGTTGGTTGTGCATTTTTTCCTTTCAGCCACACTTGCAAACATGGATGGTAGCCATGGTGAGTTTGAAAGATAAAGGCTTACTAAGTAATATTCTGGTGTCTTAAAAGAGTTAATGCTTTCATTAATCTCATCTAGTAAGAACTGACTTAAAGAAGCTTTAAAAAAAATCAGGGACCAATTCACCATTCTGTAAAGAGAGGCAAAGTGAAACAGGAGAAAAACAACCAGGCTCTGAAGTCAGGAAACCTGGGTTGGAGCCAGGGCCGCCACTTTCTAGCAGTGGAATCTTGGACAAGTAATTAAACCTATCTGAGACTTAGTTTACTCATATGTAAGATGGACATACTAACAACATCCTCTTTACAAAGCTGCTGTGTAATCAAGATGATATATAGAAAATCCATCTATAACTTGAACTCTGCTATACAAAGTTTAGTCATTACTGCTATATTGGAAAATAAAAACATACAAACAAAAAGAATTCCTTTGAATGTAATTCAAATTTTAGTTTCCTGAACAGGAATGTTGAATAAATTTGGAGTTCACGTTCATCATCTGTCTTCCAGGGTTCAAAAAGACAAAGGTGGCTGGAGTCATTTCCTGACCCCAAATCCAATGATCAATTTGTTCTTTTATGGATCATATTTTTGGTGTTATACCTAAGAAATCTTCACCTAATCCCAAGCCATAAAGATTTATTTTCTATGTTTTCTTTTAGAAGTTTTGTAATTTTAGGTTTTATATTTAGGCCTGTGATTCACTTTGAGTTAATTTTTATACATTGTGAGATAAAGATCACAGTTCAGCTTTTCATTTTTTATTCTATAATTTTTTTCATGCATATAGCCTTCCAATTACTCCAGCACAATATGTTGAAAAGACTGTCATTTCTCCACTGAACTGCTCTCACATCTTTGTCAAAAATCAATTGTCTATATACAAGTGAAATGATTTCTATTCGGTTCCGCTGATCCTGTCTATCTGTATGCCAATACCATATAGCTTTATGATATTCTTGAAATCAGGCTATGTTAGCTCTCCAACTGTGTTCTGTTTTCAAATTGTTTTCCCTATTCTAGGTCCTTTGCATTTACACATGAATTTTAGAATCAGTTTTCAATTTCCACAAAAAACCTGTAGGGAATTTGATTGGGACTGCATTAAATGTATAAATCAATATGGGGAGAATATTGATTCTTCCAAGCCATGAAAAAGGTATTTTCTTTTATTTGTCCATTTACTTAGGTCTTCTGTATGTCTTTCAGTAATGTTTTATAGTTTTCCATGTATATATCTCATATATCTTTTGTCAGATATATTCCTATGTTTCATTTTTAAATGCTATTATAAATGTATTCTTTTAAACATTTTTATTTCTAATTGTCATTACTAATATAAACAAATACAGTTAAATTTTGCATATTTCTCTAGTAGATAGCAGCCTTGCTCAACTCACTTATTCTACTAGCTGCTTTTGTGGATTTCACTGAATTTTCTATATAGACACTTGTGTCATCTGTAAATAGAGACAGCTTTACATCTTCCTTTCCAATCTGGATACTTTATATTTCTTTTTCTCCCTATTGTACTGTCTAACCCCCCTAGTTAAATGTTGAACAAAAGTAGTAACAGCAGCCATCCTTATCTTGTACTCAACAGTAGTAGGAAAGAAAGCATTTGGTTTTTTTACTACGAAGTATGGTGTTGGTTTTTCACAGATGGCCATTGATTGAGAAAGTTCCCTTCTATTCCTGGTTTGCTATTCCTGGTTTGCTAACAGTTTTTATCAGAAATAGATATTGGATTTTGTTAAATGCTTTTCCTGCATCTACTGGGATGATCATAGATTTTTCTAGTTTTTTAATATGGTGAGTTAAATTAAATTTTGAATGTTAGACAAACCTTCCATTTATGGGATAAACCCCATTTTGTCGTGGTCTTTTGTATATGTTGTTGAATTAAATTTGCTACAATGTTTTTCAGAATTTTTTTTCTCTTTTTATAGAGATATTGACCTGTAGTTCTGTTTTCTTGCAATGTCTTTGTTTTTGATATTTGAGTAATGCTGGCTTCATGAATTAGGTTGGAAAGTATTGCCTCTAGTACTTCAATTTTCTGGAAGAATTGTGTAGGATTGGTATTATGTCTTAAATATTTGGTAGAATTTTTCCAATTAAACTATATGTCCTGGAATTTTCTTTGTTAGAAGGTTTTAACTACAAATTCAATTTCTTTAGTAGGTCTAGGGCTGTTCAGGTTATCTATTTATTTTTGAGTGTGCTTTGGTAATTTGTGTTTTTCAAGAAATGTGTCCATTTCATCTAAATGTCACATTTATAGGCATAAGCTGTTCACAATATTTCTTTATTGTGTAGATATACCAGTATCTCTACAGACTTGGTAATTACGTCATCTCTCTCATTACTGATATTAGCAATTTGTGTCTCTTATTTTCATGATCAGTCTGGCTAGAGAATTACTAATTTTACTTAATCTTGTCAAAGAAGCAAATTTTGGTTTCACTTGTTTTTCTATTGTTTTTCTGTTTCCTATTTCATTAATTTCCACTTTAAGCTATATCATTTCATTTCTTCCTCTAATTTTGGGCTTTCTTTGCTCTTTAATTTCTATCTTCCTGAGGTAGAAAATGAGGTTACTGATTTGAGACCTTTCTTCTTTACCAAGATAAGCATTTAGCACATAAATTTCCTCCAACATATTGGTTTAGCAGTATCCCAGAAATTCTGATACGTTGTATTTTCGCATTAATTCAGTTCAAAATACTTCCTAATTTCCCCTGTTGACTTTCCCCTTGAGCTATTTGGAAGTATGTTATGTAGTTTTTCAAATATTTGAGGATTTCTCAGAAATGTGTCATTGATTTTAAATTTAATTCTACTGTATTTAGAGAACATACTTTGTATTACTTGAATCTTTTAAAGTTTACTGACAATGTCTTTATGGCCCAGGATATTGTCTATAATGGTAAATTTTTCATGTACATTTGAAAGGAATGTGTATTCTGTCGTTGTTGAGTGAAATGTTCTATAAATCAATTGGGTCAAGTTGATTGATAGTGTTATATCATTGATGATTTTATATCTTCTTGTTCTATAAATTATTGACAAAGGGGCTTTGATAACTCTAGCAATTATTGTGGATTTTGTCTACTTCTTCTTATGGCTTTATCATTTTTTTTCCTCATTATCATGTATTTTGCAATTTGGTAATTAGGTATACATGTATTTAGGACTGTTTTGTTCTTTTGAATTAGCCCACTTATCATTATGAAATTATCTCCTTTAACCCTTTTAATATTCTTTGTTCTAAAACCTACTTTGTCTAATGTTTATATAGCCACTTCAGCTTTCTTTTGATTAGTGTTAGCATGGCATATATTATTCATCCTTTTTACTTTTAATCTAGCCGTATCTTTATATTTAAAGTGTGTTTGTTTTTGGCAGCATATAGTTATGTCCTGATTTTAAAAATCTAATCTAACAATCCTTGTTTTTTTATTGGAGCATTTAGACCACTTACATTTATTGTCATTGTTGGTATAATTAGGTTTAGGTCTATCACTATCACTATTTGTTTTCTATTTTCACCATATATTCCTTGTTCCATCTTTTCTCTTTTTTTTCTGTCTTCTTCTGGATTAACCAAGTATTTTTTATGACTCCTATTTTATCTCCTTTGTTGATTTATGAGCTATAGCTCTTGGTTTTGTTATTTTAGTGAATGTAAAGCATTTTTTAAAGTGAAAGTTTTCCAACAAAATGCCAAGGAAGATACAAATCTGACTCTCTGTAAGACTCTATGGTTATGTATTTTGTCTTCAATTTTTGGAGGGGCATTCTATGAATGGGCTGAAACCTCAAGATGAAATGAATGCTGGCAATTAACAATCTCTTAAATGGGGCCAAGATTCCAGAATACATCTTATTGTTTATAAGCAAATTCAATCATAGCTACTGCAGAGCTGAAGTGAGATTTTTTTCAACTAGCTGAAAATTCCTATTTTTAAATGATGTATAGCTCTTAGTGATGCCATGCTGAATTTCTTAATAAGTATTAAACATTAGACATTGTGTTTACTCAGGCAAAAGATTAATAGCTGGCACTTAAAATAACTGACTAAAAAGTCATGTTAACCTAAAGGTCACAGGAAGAAAATTATTTTTGGTAAAATAAAGAGAAACTCCAGATTGTTTTACATATTTCTGTGATTTTTTGCTGGATATACAGGTCTGATGACTTGAGGTAGAAGGACAGAACAGAGAAATTCCAAGAGTTCTGTGATGTCAGTGAATGCTAAGACCCAAATATCTGTAAGGTGGAAGGTCCCTTTCTGAAAGATGAAAAATTCCAGTAGTCCAGAGTTGTTCTTCTGAGCATTGCTAGGGAAGCAAGGCAGTGTGGTATAACCATGAGGGTTCAGAGAGAGATGGCTAGAGTATGAGTTTTGGTTTCATCATTTGATCACTTGCAAGCAGTGCTACCCAGAGAACGTCACTTAACCTTTCAGAATATATTCCCTTATCTTCCTATCGAATTATCATAATTTAGATATCATCTAAATACCATAATATTTATTTTACAATATTTTGATTGGAGTTAAAAGAGGCAATTTTACTAAAAATTATCTATAATTAGGCAGTTTCAAATGTAAATGATTGTTCCTATTAATTTACTTCCTTTGCTTTTCATTAGTACAACAACAGAAGTTAGGTAGTAGGAATGTAATGAATGCAATGTAATATTAGCAATCATAACTAATGAAGGGAGTAAGTGAGTACTTAGATCAAACCTGTTTTTTCAGCAGAGGCAATGGCATTTACTTCAGCCACACCCGTCATCACTGATATTTAATGCTTTCTGCCTTTATACTCTTCCACTGAGAGTAAAAGGACCTAGGTTACAGTGCTGAAATCAAAATAATGTAATGCAATATGCTTATAATTATTTCATCCCAGGCTTGCTATTTTATCTCTGGTTGATAGTGACAGTCTTTTGGAAGCAAGCAGTGCAATGTTGTTGCTTAAGAGAAGCTTGGTGTTATTTGAAGTGTCTAGAGGCAGCCTGGTCTACCAGACTCCCCAGTTGAATAGATTCTTTAGTAAGTTTCTGACTTGTTGAGGTTTTCTCTTTGATACAGCTGGCTCTTTCTCTTTTATTTCCAAGCATGTTGCACAACTACCTTAAAACAAAGATGTATAACTTTTGGAGCATCGAGGCCATATTGGAAATCTTTTGCAAACCTAAGGGCTAATTCTTTGATGTATGCTTGCATGAAACATCAATGCACTAGTCGATGTAGTCATATCGAAAACAAGCCAGGTTTTGCCACTTGCAATCTCCCAACAGTGTAAGGGTGTGTGTGGGTGTATTAACAAGATAATTTTGAAAAAAGAATAACAACAGGACCAAGGCCTAATATAAACATACATAAACTGGTTGAGAATTAGGAAATTTGAGCTCTACTTTGGGTTCTACACTGTGAGGTTTTGCAGTGTGGAGGCAAAGCTTTTTTTGGTACCCAGAGTTCTTATTATGTGGTGTTAATTATTTGATGCATGTGTAAAAATATTTGCTACATGACACTATTAAATGTGAGTTTCTGAGCTAGTTGCTTAACATTGCTGAATCTGTTTCCTTATCAATAAACTGGGATAACAGTCATGGTATTATACCTTACAGGTAATACTGTGTGGATAAAACGAGCCATTGTATGTGATTATACATAAACTTAAAAGCCTGTATTAAAAATCAGAATACATATTATTTGTGCACACAGGCTCTAGCATCAGAGGATTTGGTTAGAATAGCTAGAGTTTGAGATTCTTGGGTACATTCTTTAAGCTAACTAAAGTTATTTAATCTGTGAAATAGGAATAAAGATTGCATTAAAATAGTTGATTAAATCAAGGAATCTCTGCCTCTTCCCATACAAAATTCCTTGAGTGATAGAAAAGGTATTAAAAAATATTAAACCACATAGCAGTAGAAAATAGGAATTTGTGCCAATAAAGGGCTAGAGATTTTGAATCATTAGTGAAAGTCAGAAATCAGATGAAGACTAAGACTGGAGGAAACTGTGCCCCCAAATACAAGCAGAAGAGCACTTTGTAAAGGACAGAGCAGTTAAAAATGTGCTGTGTACTTAGTGTAAACCAATATAAGTAGCAGAAGCATCTCTGTGTGACTAGTCAGTGAACTAAATTCTGATCAGCTGTCTTGTTACTTTCCTTCTCTGCCTCTTCCATTTGCTGAAATACAGAGAAAGGGCCCTGGTACTTGGCAGACAGGCACCACTCAGTATAACTGGAGACCTTTAGGAAATGCAAGGCACCTCCAAACCTAGAGGGAAAGTTTCCAGCACACTGCAATGAGCATACTTATTTCCTTTTCCTTTTATTTTAGAGCACCAATAATTAGAATCTACATCTTCTCCATACCACCCCCACCAAGAAGATTTCCAAAAGCTAAGAGACAGAAATCAAATTACCAAATATTTGGGGGTAAACCAAAAACATTAAAAAAATAAAAAAAGACCAAAAAAATTAAAATTATAAGTAAACAGTAGAACTAGTAGAATACTTCAGTACTTTAAATAAAAACAACATCCTAAGAATCTTGAGGGTAGCAGAGGTATAAAATAAGAAAAGCCTTAAGAAAATGAAACATTAATGCATCTGGAATTAGAAGTTTCCAGACAACACAAAAACTATCTCAATAGATAGCTGGATAGCAAAAGGGACACAGCTGCAGGGCAAAAGGAAAATAATATTCAGGCACAAAGTGGAGATAATGATAGTGACCCCTCATAGTTCTGCTGAGAGGATTAAAGAAGAGAAACCATGTATGATCACCTAGTCCAGTGGCTACCATGTGGAAACCTTATAATAAAAGCAATTTTATTATTATTGTTGTTATCCATGTTGTTGTTACAGTCATACTCCATACTCCATTCCTGGTTACTAATGTTATAACAATTATAATAATTATTATATTATCAGTAAAATGAAAGGGTATCAATGAGTGATCTCTCTGCAAAATCCCAGATTTAACACTAAGAATTGATGACATTAGGAGGGAGATTGAGGTGGGAAGGAGCCAGGGAAGTGGGATGAGAGGATCCTGGGGCAGAATGATGACACTCATGAGAGTGTTGGTAAGGGACTGTAGGAAGCCAGATGTGAGGACAAGAAAGAAAGGGACATGGGAAAGTAAAGAGTAATCCCTTGCCTTATATTCAGAGAGGGTCAGCCACTGGGTTGGTGTTGTGGGCTCATTCTGAGTTCTGATAAGGTAACTTACCTTTACTAAGTAAAAGTGTGATGAGACCCAGGGGCTGGATGGAGGCCCTGCATGTGTAGGATGCCACACAGAGGGTCAGCAAGAGACTCATCCGGCAGCCTCTTATTCCCTATCCTACAAAGATCCATATTGCTACTTTCAATCAGGTATAACCTCGGGCCAGGGCAGTTCTGAATCAAAACCAAATTCTAGCCCCCTGTTCCACAGCAAATCCACAGATTTATGCCAGTTGTATATTTTATACCTGTCAAGATTGACAAAGCCACTCACAATGATATTTCTTAATCAATCCAAGCTTTTACCATTTAATATGTATATTGGGAGCAATGAAATTTTCAGTTTACTAGTGAGAAATGTTGCCAGGATACAGACCATTATATGCATCCACAAAGTCCCAAATACAGACAAACCTCTAAGTGCCTTTTAACAGATTTGTTTCTATAAAACTATTCTTTGGGCGTCAAGTTGGTCTTTGTCCCTCAGAATTCTATCATTTACCCCTATAATTAGATAAAAGTCTTTTTTTTTTTAAAGGGAATGCAGGAAAGCTTGGGACCCATTTTTATATTTTCATAAAGAAGTCAGCCAACTAAACATTATACTTTATTACCATTAAGTGCCCAATAATAAAATCAGTTTGCAGATACAATCTACATTTCCATATATTATTGATACAAGCTTGCGCTTTGTAATTTCAAGACCAAAAAAATGTTGGTAGAAATTTGCATATTATTGAAATGGCATGATTTATTGATGAAACACACAAATAATAGAGGTGATGCTTACAGCAGTTTGGGGGCTAATGTATAATTTACAATACTAAACAACTTCATGAACAAGAGTGAAAATTGCACATTATGCCCTGCCTGAAAAATACTAGCTATAAAACTAAGACATTTTAGCATTATTTTTTGTAACAAGGATCTCTTGATGGGAAAGTGATAGACTGTTGGCCTTCAATCTGTGAGTGGTATAAAGAAGTATCAATCTGCTTGAAGAGAGAAGGCGGGAAGTCATCTTCCTGCCTGCCTGCCTCTCCAGTCCAACCTTTCATTAACATTTGCTTGCAGAAAAGATATCAATAAAAGATTGCATTTAATGCCCCAAATAGATGGGGCAGAATTTTAAATCAACAATATTGCTCAAAACCAGACAAATTTATGGTACAATTTATTTTAGAACCAAGATATTTATCTTATAATAAGAATTATTACAATCATTGTATCCAAGCTTTATGTCTTAGGGGGAAATCCAATTCAAGGTTTACCCAGTGGACCAGTTTTCTACAAAGCATTTCCAGATTCCAGGATAATGGACTGTGCTAGACACAGTTGGAAGCCTTCCCAATTCTTATTTCCACACCCTGTTTTCAAATAAAACATTGATTCCATTCATTAACCCTATGTAACTCATGAGTCATGCAAGGTTGACTTTATCCTCATTTTCAGGGAATAGAGGGAGGATGTTATTTAGTCTAAGCCAATCATGGTACTCTCATCCCTAGTTCTTATGAATGCCCCCAAGGTCCAATCCTACCCAATGAGATGTGAGGGAAAATCTGCTGGGTGCTTCTGGGAAAGGTTTCTCCACTCCTAAGAAAGAAGCTCAGGAGGCCGGGCGTGGTGGCTCATGCCTGTAATCTCAGCACTTTGGGAGGCCGAGGTGGGCAGATCACCTGAGGTTGGGAGTTCGAGACCAGCCTGACCAGCATGGAGAAACCCCGTCTCTACTAAAAATACAAAATTAGCTGGGCGTGGTAGCACATGCCTGTAATCCCAGCTACTTGGGAGGCTGAGACAGGAGAATCACTTGAACCCAGGAGGCGGAGGTTGCGGTGAGCTGAGATTGCACCACTGCACTCCAGCCTGGGCAACAAGAGTGAAACTCCTAAAAAAAAAAAAAAAAAAAGAAGCTCAGGAAAAGATGGACCCATTCCTTCCTCAGACTTTGTCATATCTGGATGTGATACCTGAAACTGCTGCATCTACCTTGCAGCCATGAGTCAATCCAGGCAGAGGGCAAAATTGACACTCTGACGATGGCAGAAGGAGAAAATAGAAAGAACCTGGAGCATGGTGACTTTATTGAGCTGCTGATTCAATCAGTTTTAAAGACTGCCCCCACTCCAGACTTCTTGTTATATAAATGAATAAGTTCCCTTCTTATTTATGTATATTTTAATAAAAATTTATGCTACTTATAACTGAAGACATTAAAACTTACCTACAGATCATTTGTCATTTTTTGACTGCCCAGCATTTGTTCCCCCATCTGATGCCAGCTTTTAGGAATTTGTTTATTACTGTTGTGTAAGAAGTAATCTTGGTAATAGAGTAGGCTTCCAATAAAGAAGCAGAAAAGGTCAGATCCTTTCTTTCCCTCTCTCTCGAGAACCACAGAATGGGTGGGTGATCTGAGTTTGGGTGAATGTTTCACCCCTTGCCTTTAAACAGCTGGCATAAGAATAAAAGAATACAGGTGATAATATTTATTTCAACAGTGTGGGCTGACCAGAAGTCTACTGGAAACTTTGGTTGCTCCTCTTGGCTCACTGGAGGTTCCTTGGTCTCTGTGCATTCCCAAGCCCAATCTTCTAGTCTTCTTTTAATTCTTCAGGCTGCACTTAATATATATATCCATATTATCATAATAAATTCCCTTTTGCTTAGGTTAACCAGAATCGATTTCTGTATTTTGCCAAGAACAACAACAAGTAACTGACTGATATCACCGGGGGCGGGTGGGAGTGGGGGCGCCTTAGTTGCAGCACCAACAGGCAAAAGTGAACTTGTACTGATACACACAGGTCAATCCAACATATTCTCATGTGCAGCCCAGTAGTTTTGCTCCCTATTACATCTCGTTTTGTTTATTTCCCCTTTCTCATATATCAAAACCCATTTTAACCTTAAAAGCACAACACTAAACTCAAGACTCTTTTCAGTCATAAAAGATTAGACAGTTATTGTTACTGTGGCTGCTTTAAATAAATCTCAAAGGGCTGCTAGTGGATATTCAGTAAGAACATGTAATCTTAAGCTCCAGATGTTGCTGGTGTAATTTAATTTAACCTTCTAATTATTGCTGGCATTATAAGCCCCAACACTTCCAGGTAAGTATATCAGATAGTAGGAAATATAACAAATGTCTTCCTGTTTTCCTCAGAGCAATTTTAGGCTCTGAAACCAACAAAGGGACATCCTGCCACTATGCTTTTGTTTATTAACTGGTGAAAACATTTTTGTGAGTTAGGGTGGTTTTGAGGACCTATTCAAGCAGCACAAACTTTAAAAAGGAATATATAAGTATGATTAGGGTCAACTTTTGGCCAAAGAATAAAATTCATGGTTGTGTATAGCATTGGCATCTCTTGAGACATTTGTAGAATCATGACACGCTGGAGTTGGAAGATCCCTTACAGGTGACCCACTCAAATCCTCAATTTACAAATAAGGAAACCAAGGTGCAGAGTAGTACACAGTGATTTGCCCAAAGTGACAGATGAAACTCAGACACAGGTTTCCCAGCTCTGAGTCCAGACTAACACTCCACATCCAGGTCTTGCTTTATTGTTTCAATTAAATTCACTGTAAGTTTCAACTGTCTGGACTGTCCTTTCCCCATTTCTTGAAGTCCTATCTACCCAGATCCAGGGCAGATGTCATTTCCTGTCTGAAATCTTCTCCAATTCCTCCTGTAAGAAGTAATCAAGGCTGTTCTCAAGGCTCTCTATGGCACATTGATTCCTTCATGAACTGCTTGTTATATCACTGTGTGCATATCTGTCACTCCCACTAGATTATAAATTTTTTGAGGGCAAGGGCTATATCTTCATCTTCAATCTTATTTTCTTTATAGGTCCTAACAGGATTTATGTGATAAATGTTTGTTGAGTCTCTCTGAAGTGTACTCAACAAACATTTGTACTCTCATAAATGTTTGTGGGGAATTAATGGTTGAAGATGTCAGTCCTCTTGACATCTTAACAAGCACCTCCATGGATACACAGTGCTTTAGGCTAAAGTAGTCATTAATGGTCAGGATTTCATGTCTGGCATTAGACTGGTAGAAAAGATCATCTGTGGTTGATACTCCTCCAATCAAAGCACTAGAGTAGTCACTGACTTCAATTACCAGCAGTCTTCCCAGACATACATATAAAATGGTAATCACAAATGTATAATTCAAGATACCTTCAGGTGCAAAGAAAGAAAAGTGCTACTCACTTTGACTTAAATAATAATGATATAAATTATCTCATACAATGGGAAGCCCCCATGGAGGAAAGACTTCAAGTTTAGCTGATTCACTGGCCATATCATGTCCCCCTAGGCTAAATTCTTTGTATCCCTTACCTCTATAATCCTTGATGTTGGCTTTTCCTCAGTCAGGTTTGCCTGCTGGTGATGAGATATCTTCTGGTAGCAATGAGGACTACACACTTCCTTAGTCAATGTGAAGCAAGAGAAAGGAAACCTCTTTCCCAACTAGGCAATAAAAATCTTTCCATTTAGACTGAATCTAGGGCATATGACCAACACTAGACCAGTTGCAGTCACTACAGGACAGTATGACCCTGCCTGGCTGAGAAATTCAGAACTGTCCCTGGCACTAGTTAGTGTCCCCTTAGTCTGCTGAGATGCTTGAGGGAGGGGTGGATAAACAAACAAATTCAGGTTCTGTTCAGGAGAAAGAAAGAATGGAAGGGAATCATCAGTGTACACGATCTAAGGGTGACAATTCTTCAAATTATAAATTAGCACAAAAAAATCCTTTTATGGAATTATGAGTCGAGTTGAGAGAAATAAATCAGTTTCCTTTTTTAAAAACTCATGTGTTATAAATAATAGATATTTCAGTGTTATCTTTTCATTGGATCGAGTGACTTATATCCTAGTTACTTACAAACAGATCAGGGGAAAATTCTTCTTTTCTATGCCTATTAACGTGCTTTTGGGAACCCATGGCAATTTATAAATCCCTACCTTGAACAATCATTGTATCAGAACATTCACTTGACTGTGCCTTCCTATTCTTCTGAGTTTCTATCTATGCAGCACTTATTTAGAGCAAGCCCTTCCTTCCCACCTACGTATACACAAGTTGATGGTGATTCACTGAAATCGTGCTTTGCTAATCATGATGATTAAAGAATGAGAGGAACACATTATTGTGCTGGGAAGTAGGCATTTTTCTCAGGATAAAACAAATTGATACTGAAAGGCACATTACTTATGAGTCTGAAAAGTCTCCTAGCATATCTGCAGTGTTCAGTGCTGACCTCTCTATACAGAGTAGGTAAATGCTAGGTTTGGGATGCCTGTTGCTTCATGATTGGGGATATTTAGAATTAATTCTATTTTCACAGTGAAGCCTGGGTGCGCTCTCTTCAGTCACAGAATGCTTAGCAGGCATAGCAGTGAGGGCTGCCTTTCTATGGTATGTGAAGTAATTCAAGGGGTACATTTCCTGGGGAAGAAATTGTTCTGTAAGCATCGGAAATACAATCAAACAAACATCTAAGATGGGCCGGAGATGCAATGGCTGCTCTCAAATGTTACCGTGTTTATTCTAGGATTAATAAACATAGAAAGGAAGTAGAAAACCTTGACAGGTCTTAATGGGGTTCCTGAGGAGGGCAGCTCCTAGCTGTGATGCCTTCCTTTACCCATGCAGGCAACTTGAAAATTCTATGTGCAAGGAAGAAAATAGTTTCTTTGAGGCAGAGGCAGCCGGGTTACTATCCCCTATGGTGATGCCCTCCCAAAAGGTTCTCTGCAACAGGAATGACAGGCTCACATAACACGACAGGAGGCTGGGAACATTTCTTTGGAATTTGGAAAGATTTAGAAGCCCTTCTGCAGAGACAGGGATCCTCATAGGTCTTCAATCACATGATATATAAACAGAAAAGGAGTTATAATTCTCTTATATGTAGGATAATATGTTTCAATGTAGGATTTTGTTGTTACTTAGCATTTCCAGAAGGTAAAGAGAAAGCAAATAGTTTACAGCTGTGGAATATTTTTCTCTTAAGTATATTGTTTATTTATTATACCAAAACTTCATTCACTTAGAAAGGGTGTCTCTATATGAAATACCAAATTAAACTTCCCTTATATTCACATGATTGGTCATTCAGCTGATTAAAACTTGGTTAATTCAGAATATGGTTTAAAATTAAAAAATGGATTTCTAATCCCTCCATTAATTCAACACCTCCACTTTTGTTTCTTGTTAATCGAGAAAAAGCAGAACTCATTACCTATTCTCTCCTTATGCCAGAGCCCTGATGGTTTTAATCTTCACTTGCTTCCTAATTTTTTTTTCTGTTTTTATTTTACAGGTCTCTGCTGACCACACTTTTCTTACCTCTCTCACCCCTGGATTTTGTGCCCTATCTCCTTGGCTCTCCTCCTTTCCTCTCAACAGTTCCTTCTTACTTGCCCCTGAGGATTCTTTTCTTCTGCCTACACCACGTTCCCTAGGATTTTTCCCTCTGCCTTTGACTTCTCCTCCTTGCCACAGTCCTCCTGATTGATCATCTTGCCCACACGCCTGCTGTCAGCAGTCACTTTTATGTTAGCTCGTATCAGTACTTCCAGCTCCAACACTTGGCTGAGCCACAGATCCTAACATGAGGCCCTCCACCAGACATTGCTATTTCATGTCCCTTGGGTATGTCAAATTTAATACAGCCAGATCTGAACTTGGTATTTCCCCTTAAATTTGGCGTTCCCTGTTCCAGAGATTGAAAGTATTTTCACAATTGCTCAATGACTTTAGAAACTTCAGTCTCATTTTCCCTCTCAACTTCCACATCCAACGCCTGAAGATTTAATCTGTTAAACATCTTCTATTTCTTCCCCTCCTTTGTATTCCACTGTCTTTATTTGGGTTTTTACCACTCGCTATACAAATTTTACAATTTTATGACTTTTGTCCCTTTTAATTTGGGATTTTCCATAAAAATGCAATCCAATTTTTTACATTTTCTACACTGCGGCCAGAGTGAGTTTTCTAAAACTGCGTATTTTATATGACACCACCCTCCTGAAAATCCTTTTGTAATATTAAGTTTTCAAAGTTAAATTCCATGGGCAGTTCCAAGATGGCCAAATAGGAACAGCTCCAGTCTACAGCTCCCAGCGTGAGCGACACAGAAGACGGGTGATTTCTGCATTTCCAACTGAGGTACCGGGTTCATCTCACTGGGCTTGTCGGACAGTGGGTGCAGGACAGTGGGTGCAGCACACCGAGCGTGAGCCGAAGCAGGGCGAGGCATCACCTCACCCGGGAAGTGCAAGGGGTCAGGGAATTTCCTTTCATAGCCAAGCAAAGCTGTGACAGACGGCACCTGGAAAATCAGGTCACTCCCACCCTAATACTGCACTTTTCCAATGGTCTTAGCAAATGGCACACCAGGAGATTATATCCCGTGCATGGCTTGGAGGGTCCCATGCCCACAGAGCGTTGCTCATCTCTTGTAGCTAGCACAGCAGTCTGAGAACCAACTGCAATGCGGCAGTGAGGCTGGGGAAGGGGCGCCCGCCATTGCTGAGGCTTGAGTAGGTAAACAAAGCAGCCAGGAAGCTCCAACTGGGTGGAGCCCACTGCAGCTCAAGGAGGCCTGCCTGCCTCTGTAGACTCCACCTCTCGGGGCAGGGCATAGCCGAACAAAAGGCAGCAGAAACCTCTGCAGACTTAAATGTCCCTGTCTGACAGCTTTGAAGAGAGTTGTGGTTCTCCCAGAATGGAGTTTGAGATGTGAGAACGGACAGACTGCCTCCTCAAGTAGGTCTCTGAACCCCGAGTAGCCTAACTGGGAGGCACCCCCCAGTAGGGGAAGACTGACACCTCACACGGCTGGGTACCCCTCTGAGATGAAACTTCCAGAAGAACGATCAGGTAGCAACATTTGCTGATCAGCAATATTCGCTGTTCTGCAGCCTCTGCTGCTGATACCTAGGCAAACAGGGTCTGGAGTGGACCTCTAGCAAATTCCAACAGACCTGCAGCTGAGGGTCCTGACTGTTAGAAGGAAAACTAACAAACAGAAAGGACATCCACACCAAAACCCCACCTGTACGTCACCATCATCAAAGACCAAAGGTAGATAAAACCACAAAGATAGGGAAAAAACAGAGCAGAAAAGCTGAAAATTCTAAAAATCAGAGCACCTCTCCCCCTCCAAAGGAACGCAGCTCCTCACCAGCAACAGAACAAAGCTGGACAGAGAATGACTTTGACGAGTTGAGAGAAGAAGGCTTCAGACGATCAAACTTCTCCAAGCTAAAGGAGGAAGTTTGAACCCAACGCAAAGAAGCTAAAAACCTTGAAAAAAAATTAGACGAATGGCTAACTAGAGTAACCAGAGTAGAGAAGTCCTTAAATGACCTGATGGAGCTGAAAACCATGGCACGAGAACTACATGATGAATGCACAAGCTTCAGTAGCCGATTCGATCAACTGGAAGAAAGGGTGTCAGTGATTGAAGATCAAATGAATGAAATGAAGCAAGAAGAGAAGTTTAGAGAAAAAAGAGTAAATAGAAATGAACAAAGCCTCCAAGAAATATGGGACTATGTGAAAAGACCAAATCTACGTCTGATTGGTGTACCTGAAAGTAACAGGGAGAATGGAACCAAGTTGGAAAACACTGCAGGATATTATTCAGGAGAACTTCCCCAACCTAGCAAGGCAGGCCAACATTCAAATTCAGGAAATACAGAGAATGCCATAAAGATACTCCTCGAGAAGAACAACTCCAAGACACATAATGTCAGATTCACCAAAGTTGAAATGACCGAAAAAATGTTAAGGGCAGCCACAGAGAAAGGTTGGGTTACCCACAAAGGGAAGCCCAACAGACTAACAGTGGATCACTTGGCAGAAATTCTACAAGCCAGAAGAGAGTGAGGACCAACATTCAACATTCGTAAAGAAAAGAATTTTCAAGCCAGAATTTCATATCCAGCCAAACTAAGCTTCATAAGTGAAGGAGAATTAAAATCCTTTACAGACAACCAAATGCTGAGAGACTCTGTTACCACCAGGCCTGCCCTACAAGAGCTCCTGAAGGAAGCACTAAACATGGAAAGGAACAACTGGTACCAGCCACTGCAAAAACATGCCAAATTGTAAAGACCATCAATGCTAGGAAGAAACTGCAAGTAACGAGCAAAATAACCAGCTCACATCATAATGAAAGGATCAAATTCACACATAACAATATTAACCTTAAATGTAAATGGGCTAAATGCTCCAATTAAAAGACACAGACTGGCAAATTGGATAGAGTCAAGACTCATCAGTGTGCTGTATTCAGGAGACCCATCTCACATGTAGCGACACACATAGGCTCAAAATAAAGGGATGGAGGAAGATCTACCAAGCAAATGGAAAACAAAAAAAGGCAGGGGTTGCAATCCTAGTCTCTGATAAAACAGACTGTAAACCAACAAAGATCAAAAGAGACAAACAAGGCCATTACATAACGATAAAGAGATCAATTCCACAGGAAGAGCTAACTATCCTAAATATACATGCACCCAATACAGGAGCACCCAAATTCATAAAGCAAGTCCTTAGAGACCTACAAAGAGACTTAGACTCTCACACAATAATAATGGGAAACTTTAATACCCCACTGTCAACATTAGACAGATCAACAAGACAGAAAGTTAATAAGGATATCCAGGAATTGAACTCAGCTCTGCACCAAGCGGACCTAACAGACATCTGTAGAACTCTCCACCACAAATCAACAGAATATACATTCTTCTCAGCACCACATCGCACTTATTCCAAAATTGACCACATAGTTGGAAGTAAAGCACTCCTCAGCAGATGTAAAAGAACAGAAATTATAACAAACTGTCTCTCAGACCACAGTGCAATCAAACTAGAACTCAGGATTAAGAAACTCACTCAAAACCGCTCAACTACATGGAAACTGAACAACCTGCTCCTGAATGACTACTGGCTACATAACAAAATGAAGGCAGAAATAAAGATGTTCTTTGAAACCAACGAGAACAAAGACACAACATACCAGAATCTCTGGGACACATTTAAATCAGTGTGTAGAGGGAAATTTATAGCACTAAATGCCCACAAGAGAAAGTAGGAAAGATCTAAAATTGACACCTTAACATCACAATTAAGAGAACTAGAGAAGCAAGAGCAAACACATTCAAAAGCTAGCAGAAGGCAAGAAATAACTAAGATCAGAGCAGAACTGAAGGAGATAGAGACACAAAAAACCCTTCAAAAAATTAATGGATCCAGGAGCAGATTTTTTGAAATGATCAAGAAAATTGATAGAATGCTAGTAAGACTAATAAAGAAGAAAATAGAGGAGAATCAAATAGATGCAATAAAAATGATAAAGGGGATATCACCACCGATCCCACAGAAATGCAAACTACCATCAGAGAATACTATAAACACCTCTACCTGGCAGAGACACAACAAAAGAAGAGAATTTTAGACCAATATCCCTGATGAACATCGATGCAAAAATCCTCAATAAGATACTGGCAAACTGAATCCAGCAACACATCAAAAAGCTTACCCACCATGATCAAGTGGGCTTCACCCCTGAGATGCAAGGCTGGTTCAACATATGCAAATCAATAACATAATCCAGCATATACACAGAACCAAACACAAAAACCACATGATTATCTCAATAAATGCAGAAAAGTCCTTTGACAAAATTCAGCAGCCCTTCAGGCTAAAAACTCTCAATAAATTAGGTATTGATGGGATGTATCTCAAAACAATAAGAGCTATTTATGACAAACCCACAGCCAATATCATACTGAATGGGCAAAAACTGGAAGCATTCCCTTTGAAAACTGGCACACGACAGGGATGTCCTCTCTCACCATTCCTATTCAACACAGTGTTGGAAGTTCTGGCCAGGAAAATCAGGCAGGAGAAGGAAATAAAGGGTATTCATTTAGGAAAAGAGGAAGTCAAATTGTCCCTGTTTGCAGATGTCATGATTGTATATCTAGAAAACCCCATCGTCTTACCACAAAATCTCCTTAAGCTGATAAGCAACTTCAGCAAAGTCTCAGGATACAAAATTAATGTGCAAAAATCACAAGCATTCTTATACACCAATAACAGACAGAGAGCCAAAGCATGAATGAACTCCCATTCACAATTGCTTCAAAGAGAATAAATACCTAGGAATCCATCTTACAAGGGCTGTGAAGGACCTCTTCAAGGAGAACTACAAACCACTGCTCAACGAAATAAAAGAGGACACAAACAAACAGAAGAACATTCCATGCTCATGGGTAGGAAGAATCAATATCAGGAAAATGGCCATACTGCCCAAGGTAATTTATAGACTCAATGCCATCCCCATCAAACCACCAATGACTTTCTTCACAGAATTGGAAAAAACTACTTTAGAGTTCATATGGAACCAAAAAAGAGCCCGCATTGCCAAGTCAATCCTAAGCCAAAGAACAAAGCTGGAGGCATCATGCTACCTGACTTCAAACTAAACTACAAGGCTACAGTAACCAAAACAGCAGGGTACTGGTACCAAAACAGAGATATAGACCAAGGGAACAGAAAAGAGCCCTCAGAAATAATACCACACATCTACAACCATCTGATCTTTGACAAACCTGACAAAAACAAGAAATGGGGAAAGGATTCCCTATTTAATAAATGGTGCTGGGAAAACTGGCTAGCTATATGTAGAAAGCTATAACTGCATCCTTTCCTTACACCTTATACAAAAATTAATTCAAGATGGATTAAAGACTTAAATGTTAGACCTAAAACCATAAAAACCATAGAAGAAAGCCTAGGCAATACCATTGAGGACATAGGCATGGGCAAGGACTTCATGTTTAAAACACCAAAAGCAATGGCAACAAAAGCCAAAATTGACAAATGGGATCTAATTAAACTAAAGAGCTTCTGCACAGCAAAAGAAACTACCATCAGAGTGAACAGGCAACCTACAGAATGGGAAAAAGTGTTTGCAATATACTCATCTGACAAAGGACTAATATCCAGAATCTACAAAGAAATTTACAAGAAAAAAACAAACAACCCCATCAAAAAGTGGGCAAAAGATATGAACAGACACTTCTCAAAAGAAGACATTTATGCAGCCAACAGACACATGAAAAAATGCTCATCATCACTGGCCATCAGAGAAATGCAAATCAAAACCACAATGAGATACCATCTCACACCAGTTAGAATGGCGATCATTAAAAAGTCAGGAAACAACAGGTGCTGGAGAGGATGTGGAGAAATAGGAACACTTTTACACTGTTGGTGGGACTGTAAACTAGTTCAACCATTGTGGAAGACAGTGTGGCGATTTCTTACAGATCTAGAACTAGAAATACCATTTGACCCAGCCATCCCATTACTGGGTATATACCCAAAGGATTATAAATCATGCTGCTATATAGACACATGCACATGTATGTTTATTGAGGCACTGTTCACAATAGCAAAGACTTGGAACCAACCCACATATCCATCAGTGACAGACTGGATTAAGAAAATGTGGCACATATACACCATGCAATTCTATGCAGCCATAAAAAATGATGAGTTCATGTCCTTTGTAGGGACATGGATGAAGCTGGAAACCATCAATCTCAGCAAACTATGGCAAAGACAAGAGCCAAACACTGCATGTTCTCACCCATAGGTGGGAATTGAACAATGAGAACACTTGGACACAGGAAGGGGAACATCACACACCGGGGCCTGTTGTGCAGTGCGGGGAGGGAGAAGGGATAGGATTAGGAGATATACCTAATGTAAATGAAGAGTTAATAGGTGCAGCACACCAACGTGGCACATGTATACATATGTAACAAACCTGCACGTTGTGCACATGTACCCTAGAACTTAAAGTATAATAATAAACAAAACAAAACAAAACAAAAAAACACAATGTTTAATTCAAACTAATAAGCACAAAATGTCCTCTGGATCTATTTATTGAATACTAATCTCATCTCTCCACTGCCTTCCTCTCTGATCACCAAAGACTCCTTACTTCTTCTAGGCACAATTAAATGCTTGTTATTCCCAAACATACTTCCATTTATTCATGTATCCAGATCCCTGTGGATGGAATAAAACTCTTTTCCACGTGTTTAATTAGCTGAACAGGCAAAACCCAGCTCAAGTGTCACCTTCTCTAGGAAGCTGTTTTGGATTCCTCATTCTGATTAATTTATAGCCTTCTCCTCTGAGTTATCTTGGTTTTAACTTTCCACTTTCCTTAGATTAACTAATAATAATTTTTATTAACTCATGAACTCATGAAGGGCAAGGACTCTCATTTGTCTTTTTGTCAACAGCTCTTAGTACTCAATAAATATTTGTCTAACAAATCAATCCAGGTGCTCTGAGGAATATAAAAGACGTCTCTGACTTCTCTGCCCTAAGGAATCTTAAATTTTTAATACTAGAGTTAAGACATTAGAGGACAATTAAAAAATGCAAGGCCATATAATTAAAAGTAGAAAACTGGCATGAGCTTCTAGTATAGCAAAATATTATAAAATAAAATATATTGTTCCTTTTATTAATTTTTTAAGTATCTTTTGGTGTTTCTAACATTAAACTAAAGAATGTTGGAGCTCTCTGCTTCTGGGAGGGTAGGACACAAAAGAAGCATCAAGAACAAAATGTCCAATTCTTGGCTTTGAGTTCCAAAATATGTCCTTGAAATTCATGACAGAGTTAACAGTTTTGAAAGCCAAGGAGCTCTTGATTTGTAAGAGCTGGGCCTTTTGGGAGGAAAAAAAAAAAAGATCTGTAAGTTGTAGTAAAGTCTGGAAGCCTTAACATGTGGAAGTTATATAAGAATCTTACAGTAGGGTAAGCTACAGAACATGATACAGGACGTAGAAAGGAAATCAACACCCTCTAGGAACAAGGGGTGGGGATTGGAGAGAGAATGTCAAAAGATGGAAGAAAGGCTAGACATGAGCATGGGCTGCCTGCTCTCTGTCTCCCACTCTAGGCTGAGTTCTTTAGAACTAGATGTCATAACATATCAGATAAGTTGAGATAGGTGGTAGAAGAGAATCACAAGGTAGAGCCAGGGAAGCCTGTGCTTATCAGAAAATCCTCATTCTGATGTGCCATTTGTGAGGTAGTGTCAGGGCAGATGAATCTCAGGTCAGACTCACAGGATTCTTCACACTCCAGCAGGGTGTGAAGAGAGCAGCTGAGAGGTTTTCTGTTTCCTTTATGGAAGGTCCATAAGTACTGAGAAGGCCATAAAACCGGAAGTCAAAGGAGGACTATGAATACTAGGAGATACCAATACATAGTGGTACAGACCACATAAAACTGTCATTGGTCAGTGAGGAAAACGGGGGCCTACAGGCCAATCCCTTTGTTGGAATGCAGATCATCAACCAAAAGAAAGAGAAGAAAAGGATGGAAGGGAGTCTTGAATCAATAACATGAAAAACTTAACTGACCCTGGAAATGACTTGTTTACAGTAAGTTGACAGGATTAACACTATTAGCAGAAATGGAGGTTTATGTGCAAAGATATATTTAGTTAAAAATAATTAAAGAATATCATATCTTTGTACATGAGTTGTGAGTATAAATAACAACAAACAGGAGAGGTTAGGATAGGGAGAGTTGTCAGAGAAGGGTTTGTGAAGGAAGCAGAATTAGATGGGGCTGTTTAAAAGGCAGGAAGAACTTGGCTCAGGAGGAGGAAAGAATGTGACAGGAAAAAAGTTGTCCAAAGGCCTAAACCTGGGACTAGCAGGAGTCAGTAGGACTAATAGGAATACAGAGGCTAGGATATGAGAGGTGAGATGCAAGTGTCAGATTACGAAGGTCCTTGGGTGCAAAGATGAGGGGCATAGACCCTTCAGGACTTAAGCAGTCTGAGTGGCATTTGGGAAAGGATTCATTCATTAGAGGTCTGCCTAGCAGGAAGAAAGATAATCTACCTCCCAAATGGCAACTTTCCCTCTGCCTTCTGGTATGCACACTCCTCCCATATCATGGAGACTGAGATAGAGGGAGTTTTATTCACCAGAATTTGTAGTTGGGGATAGAAGTGACTGGAGAAGACAACGTGGTTTGGCTGCCCCATCCCCTGTGAGAGAAGCCCCCACCGCATGGGGCTTTGTAGCGTACGTCTAGAGCCCAGGTTTTGGAAGGGACTGGAACATAAGGAACTGATCCATGAGATGGAAATGTCAAAGAGAGAAGGGAGCCCCACTGAGCAATGCAGCCAAAGAAAGACTTTAGGGAGCATTCAGATGTCTCATGGGATCTTGAATTGTCTTCTGGGTAATATGCAATGTAAATTTTCTCATATATCTCCCACAATATCTTCAATAAAATCTATAATTCTTTAAAGTGGATGTAAGAAGTGCAGAGTGTAGTTTCAGGGTTGGTGCTTCTGTAAAAGCTGTAGGTAGCACTGAATCAAGAGGGTCTATTCTCTGCCCCACCCATCAACCCTCAATATACACATATAAAACAAGTAACTTGACCCTATTGCCTATATGGCTTAAAAGTTAAACATCACAGAATGATCTACACCCACTACCTTTATTTTTCCTTTCTTCTCCGATACTTTTCTCTGATGCTAGGTTGACACCATGGCAACTAGTACAGTAGAAAGAACTTGGGCTTCAGAGTCAGGCTTTTGTTCGGGTCCCAGGTGAGCCACTTCCCAGGGGCATAACCCACTGCAAGTTGCCTAACTAGAAGGAGTCTCTGTCTTTTCATATGGAGAACAGGAATAACACATATTTTACAATATCCTCGTAAGGATTAAAAGAGATTATTATATGTGTGGAGGTTAAGCAATACAGTAGAAAGGGCCCTAACTTTAGAGTAGGTCTGAATCTTGGCTCTCACAATTATTACTTTATGTGACACTGGTGAAGTAGAGAACTCTTTTGAGACTCAGATTCTTTATCTGTAAAATGTGGGTAAGAGATGACTAATGATAGTCTAGTACAAAGATCATATCAAGTGGTCATGATCTTGTTAGGGTTCAAAAGTGGGAACTACGGTGATGTAAAGTGCCTAGTACACTTTGAAGGCACATTGAAGGTACACATAAATGGGATCCATTACTATAATCACACACTGCATGCTCTGGAAGTTCTGGCTTGACAGAGTAATAAAATGGTCTGTTGAATGTACAGTTTGAGGTAACATTTTAGGGAGAATTCCCTGAAAGGAAGAGGTTCCATCCTTCAGGATGTAGTGTAGACTTTATGTATGTCCCCAGTAGGAATAAAACATGGGAAGGTGTAAAAGTGTAAGTGATCCCACTTATCATCACTCCTAAGTGACCCACAGCTGTTCCTACAACTCTGGGCTCTGCGACTTAGAAATCCTGGTTTCTAAAGGGGAAATGCTTCATCTAGATAACACAATAAGAAGCCCATTAAATCTCAAGCTATGGCTACCACCCCGTCATGTCATGTTGCTTGAGACAAGACCCAGGAAGTGAGAAGGGTCAACATCCTGGCAAATATAACCAACATGGATCATCAGGCACAGGTTCGGCTGCTGCTACAGAATGAGGGCAGGAAATATGTTCACCAGTCAAGTAATTCGGTGTCTCTTGGTACTCTCTTGCTCAATTTTGATGATAAAAATACAAGTTCAGTGTTATGGTCTGAAAAGAATGTGGTGATCATGGGGCTCAAAACCATGTCCAGATCATCCCATATGTAAGCCACCTAAACAGGCAGAGGTGCTAGTTGATGGTGAGGGGAATTCTGAATGGTTGGATAGTGGAGGAGAAGGATAATGAGTATTTGTTAAGGCCATGAGACCAGCTGCAGTGGCAGGAGCTGTAGCTCATCTCACTAATCCACCTGAAGGCCTAGAACTTATTATAAGAAGCAAGCGGGTATGAATGGTTGCAAGGAGTACACCGTAGTGGATACCATGGAATACTGCCTAAATTTCTACCTCCAAAACTATAGTACTTACACCTCCAGCTGCAGGAAGTTTTAGAAACCAACAGCTCTTAGTGACATTCCCTCTAAGGGTCATATGTTCAGCTCAAGAAAACCGCCTTACCCAAAGTCATGCTCCTTCCCGGCGGTAGCCCACATCCAATGACTGGGTGATAGAAGGGTCTAAAGGCCTGTCCCTTTGCTTCCCATTTAGGGAACTTTAAGGAGTTATTGCAGCTGCAAAGGTCTCACTGGGATCATCAGAGACTTTGTTGTGATTGAATGGCAGTTCAAGCTCCCTTCAGCCCAATCCAGTTTCTTTCATTCTCCCATAGGTATCCAGCCAAGAGCATCCCCTCTTCCTGCATGCAAATCTTGTCCAGAGCCTGCTTTCTGGGAAACCTAACCTGTGACAAACATGCTATTTCTGAGTATCTGCAGATCATTCATGTGGAGAAATTTGCTCCTTATTTATGTGTTCTCTGCTGGTATTACTCCTTCTACTCTCGTAACAAAGCTGTTAACTAGCATTTTAGAATCACTGATGACATCCTTTCTTTCTAAGTTCTTCCTCTAAATTTCCTGGTTTGATCTGAGTTTTCTTATTTAGTGCTTTCAAAATATTCTTGAGTATTACCACTGCACTCTGTTTATATTACCTGTTTTTTAACAGCAGAGACTCTTTGTATTCTCACTGTTTACTATGACACAGTAACTTGTTGAATATTTGTGGAATTAAAAACAAACAAGAACATATTGATCTAGAATATGAATAGTGATCTGGTTGGCAATATCAATTTCACAGAGTTATTGGAATACAGACTAGAAACTATGGGAGTGGATGAGATTCCTGATGGATTATGGGTAGAATTAGAAGAGAAGATAGCTTATCACAGAACCCTGAGAAATACCAACACTTATGGGCTGAAAAGAGAAGAAAGAGTCCATGAAAGAATGGTTGGTGAGAGAAGAGATAATCCTGGAAGCCTAGGGTAGAAAGAAATTCAAGAAAGATGTATTCAACAGAGTCAAATAACAAATTGAGTATCAAATAAAACAAATGACTATCAGATTTGATAATTAGGAGGCCTTGGTGCCATTTTCCAGCCATATTTTGATGGCATTGTGGGAGGAAATATACAGGATCAATTTTGTATGTAGATCCACCTTTTCCCTTAGGTAGTTGCTGTATCCATGTCTGGAGAAGTCAGAGGAAGCATGGACTTCAGCTTCCTGTTTAAGCCATGTTCTCACATCCCATTTTAGCAGGGGCTTTGTTCTTTAGGAGTCCACAGGGTTCCATTAATAATGCTGTGATATCCACTTGGCTCTTTGTATCTGTTAGAATTTATAAATGGCAGGTAAATGATTATGACCTTCAAACCTCCAACAAGGTCAACTCCTTACTGAAAGTTATAAAGCCTAACCAACAATTACCCAGAGCTCAAATAAACCAGAGGTGCTTAAGTCACTCAGGGGAAACATATTAAAGTCAATTACAACTCAATCTGGGTAGATTTATCAGACATCTTTCCCCTGTGACCAAAGAGGCAAGAAGTAGAACTTGTTCCAAAGTGTGGGGATAAACGTAGGGGTGTATGGAGGTCTGGTAGATAACACAGAAGCAAGGAGAATAGATGATTCCTGCCTATTCCCCTAAGAGTTAGTTAAGCAAGTCTGGACATATTTCCTGAATTGGAACTATTTGATCTATATAAATACTCATTTTTATTCAATTCAACAGCTATTTATTGAATACTGTTATCTGTCAGGCAGATAACAGATATACTAGGAACTGAGAAACAAGATTGAAAGAATAAAAACAAGCATAAAAATAAACAACATATGTTCTGTTCTCAAGAAGTTCACAGACTAGTAGCTAGAGAAGCACACAAACTGCCATATAATTTCAAAGGCACTGTGAGAGTAGTATGTACTAAGTACTATGGAGCCACAGAGAAGTGGGCAATTCAGCCAGCCTTAGGAAGAAGGTATAACCAGGATGGCTACAGGTGTGGATGTATCTCTTGCAGGTTGATTGGAATGATGGACAATCAAAGTAAAGGGAAAAAAAAATCAATTGCTTTCTAGAAAATTTATAGAAATAAACGTTCCAAACCTACTAGGGCAACTAGTTCAGATATTTAAAAACCCATGCAAGCAAGGAATTCTTCCTGTAATTACCTCTAACTACATGGCCTTATAATTAATTTTTTTGTTTTGTTTTGAGACAGAGTCTTGCTCTGTTGCCCAGGCTGGAGTGCAGTGGTGCGATTTCGGCTCACTGCAAGCTCCACCTCCCGGGTTCACGCCATTCTCCTGCCTCAGCCTCCCGAGTAGCTGGGACTACAGGCACCCATCACCACACCCAGCTAATTTTTTGTATTTTTAGTAGAGACAGGGTTTCACCGTGTTAGCCAGGATGGTCTTGATCTCTTGATCTCGTGATCCGCCTGCCTCGACCTCCGAAAGTGCTGGAATTACAGGCGTGAGCCACCACGCCTGGCCTGTAATTAATTTTAAATCCTCCCTTTTCTCTTTTTCCTCATGAGAAAAAACTGGGAACAGATAGTCAACACAGTATTTACATTTCTGTTAGAAAAAACTCCCAGTGACTTGGTTATTTCCCACAAAACAAAACAAAACAAAACAAAAATCGCTTTATCCCAATGCATGCCCACTCATCATTTGATCTTTTTGTTTTAAAATGAATAGTAATCTACCTCCATTAAAAGCCTCCCAAGAGGACTTAGCTCCAGTGAGCATCGAACAGTTTTAACTGATGGGCTCAAGGGATGGAAGAAGCTGGATGAGATGTCAGCAAGAACATTCTTTGACAAAACCCAGTCCTAAGCCAAATTCTTAAGATTTGGAAAGAAAATAATTTTGTCTTACTGCCAGCAGACTCTCCTGTTTTCTGTTTCAACTAAGCAAATTAGGAATGGTTATTTCCATGCAATGTCTCCCCATGCTGGGCACTAAAACTCAAGGTACTCCAAAGTATCTAAGAAGGTTGAATAAACACCCAAAGCTTTAGCAAAACTAAAATTCTTATGGGTTTCCTGAGTATACTTTCAGTTTACTTTTATTACTATTACAACTTTCCTTAATTTTATATATATGATATATTTTATTTCTATCATATATTTTCTTGATGATATATATAATATTTATTTATTTATTCTCACAATGTAATAGAGGGTATATTGTATAGAAGGTAAAAATATGAGTATGAGAAAATGTTAGAAATTGTAGGGACCATGGTGATTACTGGCAGATAACGCAAAACCAAAGTTACACAAATGTCAAAGGTCAAGTAGCAATTTAAGAGCAGAGCTGAGAATAGAATTCAGGTGAGGAAATCAGGTCCTGTGCCTGTGACATCACAGGTAGGGCCGCCCACTATACAACTCAAAGGGTAGCATTTATACAGAATGGGCAACATACAGCAAGGGCCAGGCCTGGAACTGACCTTTGTGGGGACTCTCATGAGTCCTATAATGCAGCAGCTTCAGTCACCAGAAACCTTGTAATTGTCTCATTATTCTTAAATTTGAGGGACCTGACCAATTTTTTAAAAAAATTCAAAGTGAGCAGTGTACTGTCAGTTTTGGTCCCACTATAGGGTTGGTTTCCTCCAGAAATGGAGGCTTTGTGGTGTACCTCACCATCAGAATTCTTAAGATTTAAAATGTTTTCTTCACGGCCTTCTTGCACAATATCAGTGGCTTTTAGAAGGATCGTATTGAGTCATACTTGTAGGATTTATACAGCATAAACCTTCCAAATGGTCGGTGAAGCAAAATAGAAAATAAAGGCAGCCTCCCTCCTCCACCCACATTTTTTAAAAATCCACAAGTTTTAGGAAAAAATCCAGCTCTAGCTAAAATCCCTGAAGCCCTTGTGAAACCTCAAGAGTTTTTCTTCCTCACCATGACCCATGAATTTTCATTTGGTGGTGTGGCAGTGGCTTGAGGGATTTTAACTTGAAGCAGTTTACCCCATTTACTCTGTTGTTTGGGTGACATAGTTGATACTAAACAACAAAATTGCTGTACCTCCCTAAAACATGAACATATAATGGTTGTTTTTGTAAAGAGTTTGGGGATATGTGTGGCTAAAGGAGGTAATAAAGTATAACAAGGTCACAGTAAATGCTAGTTCATTATCTGAAGCACTGGTCCACCTCAGTGAGAAAAATATCAGAAGCGGGGTGGCAACAATGAAGATAAAGATGATGCAAATCATTAAAGAAAACCATTTGCCACCTCAACTGCATAATAAACTCAATACAGCCTGCTGTAGTCCTACATTCATGGTAAACCTAACAGATTTTCTGCTGAAAAATGCAATGACGTTGAAACCAATGCAATGCACTGTCTCTGGTGTGAGGTACCTTACAAGGTAAAGGATTTAGGGTTTATGAGGTTTCTGTTGTTGATATTTTATAATTTTTAGCAAAGCATTTGAGTTTTAACTCAGACCCAGGAGGTGCATTTTATTAGAACGTTTAATCCTTCCAAAAGGCTTTGTGAAATCCCTCTCCTCTGATGTCTCCCTATCCCTATCAGTCTTCAGCATCTAGGTGTCCCAATCAACAAAGCCTCCTGAACTCTCAAACAGAACATTCTGTAGCAGCTGTGAATGTCTTGAAGCTAGATTTGACGTCACAGACAGCAGGCAGCACAGAGGAGACATGCCACCTGTTGGTGCCAAGCGTGTCCTACCTTGGAAACATGAGCAATCAATGTGCTGACCTTTCTTCCTGGAGAGTTTGAGGTCAGGCAGACTCCTTGAAAACAATGCCCCATTTAATATACACCCTTAAGCCTGAATGGTAACATTTGCATATTTTTACTGATTCCTCACCCAAATTATTTTCCTCTTCAATGAACCTGTCCTTCCAGGACATCCATCATGGGTTGGATGCCACCCCATCTCCCATCTGGGTTAGCTTTCCCTTCTAGCAGGACATGTTAGCCAAGTAGGTTTCAAATTGTTCTCATTGGTCATTCCCCACAATCTTCCAACTAGGTAGTGCCACATCCATTCTGCAGAACATGTGTGGCAGAAGCATAGCAAAACCTACCAGTGCCAAGATTCCACTCTGTTGGACAGATTCCAAATGGAGCTTCCTTTCTGTGAAGCAAGGACCCTCACGCACAGTTCCTTCCTCCTCCGGTAATGTCTTCCCCCTCCTCTTTGCTTCTTTCCCATCCCTCTATCTCTAAACACTTCCTACATTCACACCCACCCAATCTCTCTGAAGAATTCATCCTGCCTCTCCCTAGCTGCACCAGCCTGCAGTTCTTTCTGCATTCTCTGCTGAATTCTTACTGGCATTTGTGGTAACTGTGCTGGTAACTGTCTTATACTGGACGTAGTACTTGGTGTGGTTAATTTTCTTTTTCTATATAGAGGTATTGAGTTCAGTATGCTATCAGCTCTGAAAAATGGGGCCTTGTCTACCTGTCCCTACAGGGTCGAGAAGAATACTGCACACAAAGGTTCACAAGAAGAATAGTATTTGTGTATGGATTATGTCAGGAAAAAAAACCCATGATAACAGTCCTCAACCGGGCTTTGAAAACAGCAAGTATGTTCCTCAATTCTAGTTTTGCTTTGGTTTATATTTTAGATGTGAACCTCTAGCTAGAAATCTAAGGGCATATTTCACAGAAAATACTAGAAAATGGCATATAAAAATGGATGGCAGAAAACTTTTTCAAGTGGAAAAGGAAGAAAGGAAGGAAAGAAAGAAGGGCAGACTACCTGGTGGTATAGGCCCTTATATCTAGAACTCTCACTCAATGCTTCCAACACTTTTTCATAAACCACAAAACCAGAAATTTACTGTTCAATAACAGAAACATATGGTGTGGAGCTTTCTAGCTTTTTCTTTTTTCTTTTTTTTTTTTTTGATGGTAAAGAGGTAGCAAGGAGAGAGGATCTAGTTGGGGAGGTGGGTAGGACAAGAAGAAGTGGGAGTGAATGTTTTCAAAAAGCTTTTGGTAGATAAGGACTTTCTCTCATTCATTTTTAAATTTTCCTATTAAAATATGTACTTTATAGCTTCTCGACTTTACAAGAGGCATGTTTTTTGATGGAAACATATTCTGGTGTGCACAGTGATTAGGTCCATTAGTGGATAAATTCAGCGTTCACTCAAGAGACCATGCCACAAGACCAAATCCACTACTTTTATTGGAAATACTGGGGCTGAGAAAGAGAGTAAATTCATTAATGCTAAGCCTATACAAAGCAGTTTGCTCTTTTTGTCTGTTTCGTATTGTACCATTGCAGAAAGGTTGAGTGTACCTCCGCTACTAAAACAGTCCATGTATCCAGGGAGCTTGCTAATCAATTTTAGAGTCAACAGAGCCCCAGGACACCGTTAAGAAATTCAAGGTTTTCAGGGATAGTTGAAAAAGAAAACAAATGACTGGGCATGTTCCTCTCTGTGTTTCCCTTCCACTGCTTGGAAGAGGACAAACAGTGTTCACTGGCGACGGACAATGTGATGCTCCATTGACTTCTTTCCAGCACAGTTTAAGCTATCAGGTCAGCCTTCTGTTCACTGAAAGACATTTGTGTTTCTACATATCTGTACTCACGATTAAAGGGCACTGAATCACTCTAGACCTTTAACAGCACTAAATGGGCTATTAGGCAAAATTGAAATTGAATTCCCTACAATTCACAGCTGAGAAATACATGGCCACTGAATAATTACCTCATATCCCAGACACTTTCTGGTGTCTTTTAGACTGACACTGGAAAAAGAAGGCAAAAAGGGAAAAAGCTAATACTGATGAAGCATTTTTTTGAGTTCAGCATGGTGTTAAGCAGTTTATTAGTTTATTTAATCCTCGTGAGATCCTTCAGACAGGTGAGTTTTTATGCTTCTTTTACAGGAGAAACTAAGGCTCAGGTAGGTAAGAGAACCTTGTCACCATGAGATAATGTGCTGTGGCCATGCAAGATGCTAGTAAAACATCCCTCCATAAAATCTCTTTATTAGACAGGAGAGAAATCTGATCATTACACTTTCCTTCTTTTCTAACTTCTGTTTTCTTGCTTGTTAAATGAAGAATAATGACATCCCCAAGTGGTTGTTGTGAAATACAAAGAGAATAGCTCTTGTTATCTGTACATTTGTAGTTCCTTCTGCCTGACTTTTCGCATAGCTGTCTCCTACTCATCCTTTAGTTCTCAGCTTAAATGACATTGCCTCCAAGAGGCCTTCCCAGATTATCCACCTGAGGTCTCATCAACCTCATTATCACATCACAACTCACTATCACATTTCCCGTTTATCACCTTAATAGCACCTATCACAATCTATGATTGCCTCATTACTATCCCTCCTCCCCATCAGAATAAAGCCTCCGTGAAAGACAAGAGCATTCCTATATTGCTCATGTTCTATGCCTACTACAGTGCCTGGCATATAGTGCTACCCCCAAATACTAGTTGAGTGAATGCATGAATGACTGAAAGAAAATGCACCTATAATTTAGAACTACTAAATAAATGAAAGTTCCCTTCTATTTCCCACTTTCCCTCTGACTGTTTTTGGGTTCACTTCCATTTGACCTCTTTTCATCTCAGTCACCAGTGATCCTGTATCATGTTACACTGAACTTCAGTTGATGCAGGAGAGGAAAGCTGACTTTGCTCCTGCTCTGTAGCAAAAGGACTTGGACTGTTTCTCTCTCGTCTCAGGGAAGAGGCCTGTCTATACTGGGCCTGAGTACAGGACATGTAAGTGGGTACAGATCAAAGATCTGGTGACACCCTGTGTCTGTGGAAAGGTGGAGATATTTAACAATGGGAGGGAAGAAGTGGCTTCTATGGTGCAGAGAAACTTGCCCTGACCTCCTTCATCCTTTTCAGGGAGCTTCTGAAAATGTTTCTCCACAGTGCCAATCTGCCCTTAGCTTTTGGGGACATGCAATGGCTAAAAGCCCTTGTTGGATACTGAACTTCTAAACTCAAGTTATGTCCTCAAGGCTCAGCATCTATCCAGGGCTCAAGCAGAAATTAAAGGTTGCCAAGGGCTAAGAGCATGGGAAGAGGCTTTGGGTGTTTTTGGTTGGGCTCTGCTCTCCTTGCATGAAATTGCTAACCATTCAAAGTCAAGTTGAGGTAAAAATGAATGGTCTGAACACCCCCTTAAAGTCCACCAAATTTAAAGCAAGCAGGCTTTCTCCATGAAAGTCGGCTTCTCTTTTACTTAGGTAACCTTTCAGTAATCATAGATCAAAGCCCAGGCTGAACGTTTCTATCCTTTGGGAAACTTTCTCTGGCTTCCTTGGGCATATAGGAGAGTTCTACCCTTTCCCACAACACCATCTTTTGCCTCTATCAGGGTTTATCTATCTTGTGGAATAGTCACATTCTTATGTGTCTTGCAACCACATCCAGCTGTTGGTCCCTGGAGGCAATGTGTCTCATACATTTTTGGACCCTTCAATCAAGATCTTTGTATCTTGCTAAATGCTAGGAATATACCAAGTACACAATATATAAAGTAGGAGGTATGTTTGAATAATAAAGTTTTGGAGATAAAAGGGTCCCAACTCATAGTTTGATATTTTATGAAGCCCAAAGAAAGATAAAGTTATTGCCCAAGGTAGCCACAAAGTAACAGATAGGATCTACTCAAATAAATATTATTTATTACTTGAAATTACATCATCATGAAAAAGACTTCCCAAAAGTTTTAAAATGTAAAGCAATTTGAAATGCTTTCTATCTAATTATAATGCTTAGACTTTATTTAAAATCTTTCACAGTTTCAAGGGACCATATGCTTTATGCTTCTAAGAATTTGTCAAATAGTTGTTGCCCTATAAATTAAGTATTGGTTCTTCTATTACTCTTGAGAATACATGCTTCGTGAATACTAATTTGGGTTAATTTTTTGCCACTTTATATTTGTGTGTTTTGACAAACCACTGACCAGACAATAGGTATATAGACTATATTAGATATACATATTTTTAATTTTAAACTTTTAATTTTTATGGGTACATAGTAGGTGTATATATTTCTGAGGCACATGAGATATTTTGATACAAGTATGCAATGTGTAATAATCACATCAGGGTAAATAGGGTATCCATCACCTTAAGCACTTATCCTTTGTGTTACAAACAATCCAATTATACTCTTTATATTAGATAACATTTGATTTGAGACATCTTCTAGTCCTAAAATTATCTGCCTCCATCAACTCTTCTATGTTGATTTCATCTTTAATGAACATTTATTGGATGTTTAATGTATCCCAAGCATTATGTCCAGGATTCTCTACCAGGTACTAGGAAAATAATATACTGTCTTATAAATAAGATAGACAATCCAGTTCTCAAGTTACTCACAGTCTAACAGTCTAATGGAGGAGTCAGGCATTAAAAAAATGATTTTAATGAATGTAAAATACTACAATAGAGGCATGTACTTAATATTGTGGAAGCAGAGAAAAGGGAATAATAACCTGCCTGTGGGGAATTAGAGAATGCTGCCTTCTAAATAACCTTTTAAATAAAGTGGAGATGGAAGTTGAGGATCAAAAACTTATCAAGAATTCACTCAAAGTAAATGAAAATATTTGTCCTGCTAAGGAAAAAAAAATAGACAAGAGGAAAGCCTATAAAAATCAAATCAGTATCTCAAGGTGATGAAACAATTCTGTATATTCTTAATCTCCAGGTAGTGTGGTCTTGAATTATAGGGACTTTATTTAAAAGTACATGATGGATTTAATGATAGTAAATGATTAAAGTAAATACTTGCCACTTGCATCTTCCTTTCCAGATAGATGGGAAACCATACTGCCTATATTTAGATTTTTCCTGTTTAATGTCACTAAACAAAGCATTAATCTTTTCTTAAGTAGACTGTGTTATGGGTTGGATCTATATATTGAAGTCCTAAGCCCCAGTACCTCATAATATGACCTTATTTGGAAATAGGATCATTGCAACTGTCATTAGTTAAGGTGAGGTCATACTAGAGTAAGGTGTGCCATTAACTCAGAATAACTGGACTGGACATTTTGACCCAGATATGCACACAAGGAGAATGCTATGTGAAGATAAATGCAGAAGTTATAGTCATTCTTCTACAAGCCAAAGAATGCCAACAATTACCAGAAAACTACCATAAGCTAGGGGAAAGGCATAGAGTAGATTTTTCCCCAAAATCCTCAGAAGGAACTAACCGTACCAATGCTATGAAGACTTCTAGCCTGCAGAGCTGTGAAACAATAAATTTCTATTGTTTAAGCCACCCAGTCTGTGGTACTTTGTTACAGCATCCCTGGCAAACTCATACAAACTGTAAATTCTTCTTGGAAACATGATGAAGGATCATGGAAATTTTAAACTAGATTTTACACAGTACTGGAATATCAACTTCACTGAGAAAAATAATACCTAAAGCAGTTAATTGAGAGATTGCTACTCATTTCTAAGTTTATGTAGTAACTCAGGGCATTCAAACATATAATAAATAATTTTTTTCAATGTTAACTTCAGGTCAGTCTAGTATTTGGCTAAAAAATAAAATACAGTTTTATATCTCTTCATCCTAGGTTCTTAAGTTACCTGTATGTGTGTTTATCTCTGTGTGTGTGTGTGTCTGTGTGTATGTGTGATTCTTTGGAAACTTAACTCTATGATGACTTTGAGGCCTCAAAATAATTGCCATTTAGCAAGAGAATTTCTCTTTAACTTTTCTTCCTAAGGTACAATATTGACCATCATCTTAAACAAACAAACCTTGAGTATGTAGAACAATGAAAAGAGTGCCAAGCTAGATGTCTGGAAACCAGGAGTCTAGCCTCATTTTGGTCCTAATAAACTGTGTGGCCTTGGACAAGTGCTTAATTTTCAAATAGCTATTAGCTCAAGAAAAATGCGGGCCAGAGCAGCTTTTGATATTGCCTATGATCCACTATTTGCAAAAATAGCTAATATCCATGCATTAAAATGAAAAAGAGCTCAGCAGAAAGCTTGTAGAAACAGCACTGGAAATCGATATCATCAGCAAGGGAAAGAAGTGATGACGAGAAAAATATTCCTTTATTTTCTTCTATTTAACAAAAGAATCTCTGCTTACCATTTTCCTCTTCTTAGTGTACAAGGGCAACTTTAAAATGTGAGTTAACAAAAGCGAATGATTCAGAGCTAATATTTTGTTGTCCCTAAAGTTACAGCAGCATCAAATGATTTTATAGCCCACTGGGGCCAGAAAAATCACTTGGAAGCAGAGCATACCTACATGAGCAAGTTGTACTACATAAAGTGACAAATGATCTTAGACAATTACAGAAACATTTATATCTCAATCAGTACCCTGGAGACAGCTGATAATGTTTGCACATACTGCTAAAACCGTCAGCAATAAGATGTGAGGAAAACCCAAACCAGAACTTTTTACAAATTATGAGGTTCTGAAAAAGAGCAGAAACCTCTGTGGTAACGGCTTACATTAACAATACAGCTGCCTCTTAAAGCTCCTCAAGTCATAAAACACTAACAGCAAAGAACTGAAAAAAAAATGTGCACACTACAAGGAAAATGAACGTCAGTGAAAATGGACTTCACAAGGAGTATGGTGGCTGCCAAACTAAATGCTGAAGACTGGCAATCCCCTGATACAAAATCAGAGTCAACCATGACATGCTCATAGGGAAGGACATCAGTGGGCCTGTTTATCTCATCCATACAGCATGGTGCCTAAAGGTGGTTCAAACTGGAATGGCTGGGTTCAAACCACTAGCCATGGCTTGGGCAAGTAGCTAGTTTCTTTATCTGTAAAATATGAATAATGGCAGTGCTCACGATATAGGCTGTTATGAAGATTAGATGAGATAGTATAGGTAAAGCATTTCGAAGAGTGCCTCCTAATTGAATACTCAATAAATATTATTACCATAACTCCTATTATTGCTACTAGTAGGCAATGAGCCCTTGTCAAATAAAACAAGACCGTTTTTCCAAATATTTAATTAAAACCAGAATGTATTCTAGAATGCCAGCAACTGAATTCAAGAGTTGTTATTTAGGCACAAATCCCTAAATTTAAATTTTGTTTATTTATTCATCTCGTCATTGATTTACATAACAAATAATTCTTGAGTATAGTGCTAAGGTAGTGTCCTAGCACTAGGGTTCCAACAATGAATAAGATATATAGTCTCTGAACCCAAAGAGCTCATCCTAGTTGTGGAGAATAGACAGAAAATTCCAAGGATCCACATTTGAACTATGTGGCTCAAGCTATGTGCAGTGCCAGTAAAAAGAGTGAGGAGAGAGGCAAGAGGATCACTTGATCCAGAATAGGTGGGTGCAGGGGGATGGTCAGGCATTATTCCCTAGAGATGATAGCTGGACTCAAATGTGGGGTAATCCTGTTTTAGTTAGAATACAGATGGCCAATCGAATTGAGGGTAATAGCCAGAATACCTTGAATCCCTTAGTATTGTTGACAAAGAGCCTAAAATATGTTCTTAAAGTTAATGCCTGTCTTTATTTATTTATTTCTACTATTAGTAGTTGCTTACACAATCTTTATATGTCATAATTGTATATTATTTGCTTGTCAAAGGAAATATTACTCTTAATGATTGCAGCATACAGTTATAAATAATAATTTACTTCAATCAGTCACACTTGTGTAAGGTATTTTGGGATACATGGAGTCCTAGGGCTTCAGGTCAACCACTACTGGCCAGTAATGAGGTTCTCTAAATTGAAACCCTGGGGCAGAGCTACTCTGCCACACCATTGTGTAACTGGGGTTTAGTTATGCCACAGTCAGGCATGAGGTAAAGGTGATGAGTTCTGTATCCATTGTTAGAAGGAGAAGACAAAGAGGGAGAAAAGGACATTCACTATGAGCAGATGGGATGCCAGGGAGAGATATTAGGTGACATTGTGGGAAGTCTGATTGTCCTGCCCAATATACCCATTAGAAGGACAAGCTAAACTGGAGAAAAGCAACAGTTCCTTTCTGAATATGGGGAGACAGCTATCATTGAAAAAAAGTCCCACACCAATAAGCAAAAATAAAAAATTCTGTCATGAGGGCCGGGGATAGTATAATAGCTCACACCTGCAATCCCAGCATTTTGGGAAGCTGAGGTGAGAAAACAGTTAGAGCTCAGGAGTTTGAGACCAGCCTGGGCAGCATAGGAAGACTCTGTCTCACAAAATGAAAATTCTGTCATGAAATTGATCAATGTTTATGTTAACATAGACATATGACAGACATTTTAGAAACAGCCTTGGAAATTTTTCAGTGAAAGCACACAAATTGTGAATGGGCTTCCTATTGTTCAATTCAGCTTTCCTTCCTTTGCAACCCGCCTCCACCTTTAAAAACGAGCAACAGGCTCAATATCTTCAAAGAATGGAACTGTGTCCCACCCTAGTTCTGCACAGGAAAAATAGCACAGAACATTTTTCTCCCTTCTTATTGAGTTGTGACCCCAAAAGTGTATTTTTTAAATTCAAAGAGTCCTCCAAACATTTGGTAATTTAAACATTTGGTTTAAAAATATATGAACAAACTAGGTTGCATTTGTTAGAAATCAAGACCACTTGGGAAAAAATAGAGACGCAAAGAATGTTTGAGCACAGTGGATGCTTCATTCTTTTTAAAACCACATTTCACTTGCTCAATGAAAAATAAAAAAACCTTCTTTTATTTTTAAAACCCCTTTCAAGCTGACATTGTCTATGACCAAGCCATAGCCTAGAGCACAATTTTACAGCTGAGTAACAAACCTCTTAAAACTCAGATTTATAATGGAAATGCTGTCCGAGAGTTAATTACAGTGGACTCCAGTAGGGTACAATTTTTTTCATCAGTTTGGAGTTTGGAAAGCTCACTAGCCTGACGCAACCATATTTATCTCAAACCTCAGACTCCATTATTTCATTTTGTTGGGCTGTAAGGCAAGGCCAGTGAGTAGGTCCCTCTTACCTTTGCTTTATAGCCTCAGTTTGCCTGAAGCTTTCAGAAAAGGAAAAGTTTTTTTCAAAAAAGTCCAGGCTCTACACTGGTGTTGTGTGGGAAATTAAAAAAAATAAATAAAAGAAAGAAAAAAAGAGTCCAAGATCAATAACAGGAACTTTAAATTAGGATAGCCTAATGGCAGGAAAGAACTCCTGCCTGCTCTTAGGGGAGAAAGCACAAACACACTCAAGAAAAACAAAACCAAAAAATTTTTAAAAATCTTAACAACTATCTTTAGACTTCTTTTAGGACTTTGACAGGGTAGGGTTTACTCTTCCTAGGAGGTCTGTTTTCCAAAAGCACACCTGGTGCCTCATCAATGACTACAGAATTTAGCTTGTGACCTAACTAAGAGACTAACTGAGACAATTTACCAACCTTTTGCTCTAAGCCAGTGCCTCTCAAATACTGGAATCACCTGGGGGAATTAAAAAAAAATGCCTGAGTCCCAACACTAGTGATTCAGATTTAATTAGCTTGGGTGCAGCCTGGGTGTCAGGAGACTTAAGAGCTCCCTAGTGGATTCTAATGAGCAGCCAAGACTCAAAACCAATGCTCTCGCCCTTTCTTTAAAGTGGGGACCATGGACCAGCAACATCAGCAACACGTGGAGGCTTATTAGAAAGGTAGAATCTCAGGCTCCACCTGCTGAGTCAGAATCTGTATTTTAACAAGATCTTCAGGAGATCTGCATGCATATTACACTTTGGGAAGCATTGCCTTTTGCTACAGCCATTCCAAACAATTTCCTGGCAGTCTTGCAAGAATTCCAAAATACCCACTGAAAATATGATCTGCTTAACATTCCTTGAAATAAAAATAGATAGGGAGTGTTCCTTGATCCGATTAGGAGTTGAAAAGAACAACAGGATGAGACTGATGGAAAGAGCTTGGTGCATTTCAGGTAAAGGCAGAAAGCTTTAACCTCCTTAGAGAGCAAAAAGTAGAACTAGATTGCTTTTGCTCAGCACTCACAAATTAGCAACAACAAAAAATGCTCTGGGGTGGGCTCAAAGAAAAATGATTTTACCAAACATCTAATGACTAGCATAACATGATCATTGATGAATCATAACTCATTTCAGCCACTGTTGCTCCACAACTCCCTAATCATCCCACTTCCTGGCTCTGTATCTCCCCTGGACCAGGAGCATAGAATTTGACTTTCAGTTATCCGGTAACCTAACGAGAATGTATGTCAACTATGTTGACAACTAGTCAACATGATTTATAATAAAACTGACCCTGGATTGGTAAGTGGCATCTAGACTAATACAACTACAAATAACTGATAGGAACCACAGTTTTGGTCTTTCTGAGTGTAGAGCTCTTGTAACTGGATGTGTCCTTTACTGGGACTTTGAAAGCTATGCTTATAGATTTGCTGTAAGAGCTACTGGCTTCTTTGAGGGAAATAAGGCTTTTACACCAGGAAAACTCCTGCACTTACCTAGTATGCATCTCATCTCTTTGCACATGAGCTGCTATGGGCTGCTGCAAGGCCTCCTATAGGTAAGAAATAACCATCACTGCCCTTCTAGGAAGCCATGTTCCCGTACTACGTCCCTTTAGAGTAGAATGGTGAAATGGGCTTATGAATATGAATGTCAAGTTGAACCAAGAACTCTTGATGCAGAATGTGCAACACAGAGTTTTTTTAACATAGCATAAACTGGGAACAAACTAAATGCCTTTGAGTTGTTAAATAAAGTATGGTCCATTGATAAAATGGCATATATACAGTTCTAAAAGCTCATGTTTTTGAAGAATATTTAATGTCAGGGAAAATAAATGTTCATGATACATTAAAAAATGTGAGAGTGGATATATGGTACATATATACCATATTTATTTTATAAAACACACAAGGAGTTTCAATAAAAAAGCAGATAAAGAGAGTAAAGCAGCATGTCAGACACCTTATGTATTGTCATCTTTTCACTCCCTTCTTTTCCTTGCAGAAACTCATTTTCCTCACTCAAATAATGTGATTCATGTCATTCTGGTCATCACAAAGTTCAGTGCCCTGGCCACAGTGCTCAGCCTGGGATCCAGGCTGATTAATAGAGGTATCTTATCCCCTTTTCCACAGTGACTGTTTGAGGCATGTGGCTCAGATAGAGACAATCAGAGTCATTCCTGGGGATCTTGACTGTATAAATACTGGGACATATAAATTGAGGCTCTTGAAATATCTTTGGATAGAGAGATGAGAAAATACTTGCTGCCAGTGCCCAGGTTCCTATGACGAGGGAAGCAGCAGCATTCTATGGGGTGCTCAGGTACAGACAGTCAGGTGGCAGAAGTGTTATATAGTTGCACAATTAAAGAAATACTGAATTAAAGAAGGGTTTATTGCAGGACTTCTTTGATATACATATTAGCACTAGCATAAGGAGAGGACGCAGTATACAGTGTCTGTCAAATTTACTTAAACATCAAAACCTTTCTTTTTTCTTTTCTGTTTCTTTTTTCTTTTTTGAGAAAACCTGCTAGCATCTCTGCTTATGTGATTGTTCTTAGAAGACAAAAAATATATGCTGCTCCAAGGAAATAATGGATCCATCTATGGGTCAATATTTTTATGTGTGTGCGTGTGTGTGTGTGTGTGTGTGTGTGTGTGTGTGTGTGTGCTTTGCTCCACTTTCTAAATTTCTTACACCTAAAGTTATGTTGAATACATACATACATATATATACAAAGTATATGTATATAGTATCTTATACATATACATATGTATATCTCATATATATTTATATATAGTCTGTTTCTATAAGTGAAACAACCCAAGTACTCTTTATTTTCATAAATGAATTAGTAGTATTTCTAACATATATTAATAGTTTCTTATTGCCCAAAGTTTAGAATCAAGAGTCCCTTTCCTTTTACCCATGGAAACACACAGATTTTATTTTTAATTTCAGTTCTCCATTACATGTTTTTTTTTAAGCTTTTATTTTAAGTTCAGGGATACATGTGCAGGTTTGTTATAGAGGTAAATAGTGTGTCAAGGGGGTTTGCTGTACAGATTATTTTGTCACCCAGGTAATAAGCATAGTACCCGATAGGTAGACACATGAACACATATGTCCATCACAGCACTATTCGCAATAGTAAAGACATGGAATCAACCTAAATGCCCATCAATGGTAGACTGGAGAAAGAAAATGTGGTACATAAGTTCTCTGTTTTATATACCCTGCATGAGGGCAGCCAAGTTAATGCTATAATCATCACTTAGTGTATTTGGGAGAAAAGAAGTTACCTGTTACCTGTTCTACAAATTAATAAATATTTCTGCATTTTTGTTTCCTATGCAAATGTACATATACACACATATATGGTTTATAAAAATGGTAACATACTATACAAATGTTTTGTAATTTTAATTTTTTTTTTTTTTTTGAGACAGAGTCTCGCTCTGTTGCCCAGGCTGGAGTGCTGTGGCACAATCTTGGCTCACTGCAACCTCCACCTCCTGGATTCAAGCAATTCTCCTGCCTCAGCCTCCTGAGTAGCTGGGATTACAGGAGCATGCTACCATGCCCGGCTAATTTTTGTATTTTTAGTAGAGACGGGGTTTCACCATGTTGGTCAGGCTGGTCTCAAACTCCTGACCTTGTGATCCACCCGCCTCGGCCTCCCAAAGTGCTGGGATTACAGGTGTGAGCCACCACAGCCGGCCTGTAATTTTAATTTTTAAACTTAATGAGGTATGATAAGCATCTTTCCATGCCAGCGTATAGAGTTCTACCACTCTTCATTAACACTGCCTGGTATAAATTGTGTGGATGGAGTCATATATATCTTAGCCCTGTAATCTCATTTAACTTCTAGGTACCTCAATGTTTGTCTAAGTAAAGGTAACCTACCTACAAGGAAGATTTTCAAGGAAAATATTTAAGTAAAGCACTTAGCACAAGGCTGGAACAGAATGTGCTCAGTACATGGAGCTATATCAATATATCTATTCCATAATATTACTATTAAGGGATTATTCTATTAATATTGTCATTAATAGATAACTGAATTATTTCCAATTTTGACTTCAATAAATAAGACTGCAACACACTAATTGCAGCCTTGGGTGTGGATTTCTACAGAATAAACTCCAAAAAAGTGGAACTGCTAGGTCAATGTTATGCCCATTTTAAGTTTTGCTAACATGGCCAAATTTCTTTTCAGAGAGGCCTTTTCCAGTGGGCACTCTCACCAGCAATGGGTGCTGCTTGCTGGCTACCTTTTGGGGAAGGCAAAGTAAGGGGAAGGGATTTTATCAGTCTCTGGAAGAATGTATAGAGTACTGTAAGGCGAAAAGAGAGGGCCATTCTGTGGAGAGGTGTCACGAGTTCCCAAGGCCACTTTCAGGCTTGATGATTCATGAGAAGAACTTACAGGCTTCAGAAAAGCTGTTAAATTCACAGGGTATCGTTTACTATAGTGAAAGGACGCAGATTAAAATTAGCAAAGGAAAGGGAGAAGGTACATGTTTGGAAGTCCAGAAGAAACCAGGTGCAAGGTTTTTGTGGTCCCCTCCCCATGGAGTCTCATGGGGATGTGTCTAATTCTCCCAGCAACAATGTATGACAACACATGCTCAATGTTGCCAACCAGAAAGGCTCACATGAGCCTTGGTGTCCAGAGTTGTTATTGGAGATCAGCAATATAGGCCCCTTAACTGACCTCAGCTACTGAGATTCCAGCCTCCCCCTACCTAAAAGAAAAAAAAAAGTCTTCACCATAAATCACATCGTCAGGATAAATTTATCTGTACAGCATGGTCCAAGGCCTCAGGCATACAAAAAGACTCTTATCTGGAAGAATATTTCAAGAGCTCAGAGGTTAATTCCCAGGAGCTGACCAAGGGCTAGTCCTGAAGGCAGGCATTTCTTTGAAATGTGCAGGATTTGAATAACCCAGGCCTGCTGAGTTAACCCCTTCCTTCCTGCCCAGGGCTGGGAAGGGGATGGCATAAGCAAAGCAGTGAGAAGGAGGTGTATAAAGCACAATTAGGGACAAGAGTGGGATCTGGTATTTTAAAGAGAAGAAGAGAAGGAAATTAAGGGGAAAAGTAGGTTGAGTCAAATCATGAAGAGTCTTAAATACAGATAAGCACAGGTTTGAGGAAGATTAATCTGGTAGTGGTTTTAAAGATGAGTTGAAGTCAAAAGAGTCTGGAGCCTGGGGAACCTGTTAACAAGCCCGAGACAGGAGGTGCTAAAGCAGCACGATAGGCATGAAAATGGAAGGGATCTGCCCAAACAAGACTTCAAGAGTTGCCGAAAATAGGTGGACAAAGGTGAGGGGAAGGAAAAGGTAAGAATTTCCTAGGAATATAAGCTTCTGTGGTTATAGGTAAAAGCCTCTGTTGACAGGAATAAAGCTGTTAGTACAGCCACATTCATATATTCATATAGTCACATTCATATATTCAACAACTATTTATTAGAGGCTTATTAAGTACCAAACTATTTGTCTTCATAGTGTGTTCCATGAACTACAGGCACCCCATCACCTGGGGGAGCTTGTTGACAAAGCATTTCACTCTTCCCAAGAGCTACTGAATTCAAGTCTCTAGCACAGGGTTTGGAAATCTACATTTTTAACAAGCACTCAGATACTCTTATCACCCACAAAGTCTGAAATTCTCTGTTAATTATGGGTCCCAGAAAATCGTCTATGTTGGGAATTTAACTAGTCATGCATAACTTAACCGTGAGGATATGTTCTAAGAAATATAAGGCAATTTTGTTGTTTTGCAAACATCATAGAGTGTACTAACACAAACCTTGATGAACAGTCTACTACACACCTAGGCTAGGTGATACAGCCTATTGCTCCTAGGCTACAAACCTGTACAGCATGTTACTGTACTGAATACTGTAGGCAACTGTAGCAAAATGGTATTTGTGTATCTAAACACAGGTAAAAATAGAAAAGGTACAGTAAAAATATCGTAGGATAATCTTATAGGACCACTGACGTATATGTGATCTGGTGTTGACTGAAACACCATTATGTGGCACATGACTGTATATCTCAAACGGTGAAAATAGGAAGAAGAAAAATGGCATAAAGAAAGATCCTTTTTTTCCTACCAGCAACTCAAGATGAGAGTTTGTCTTGCATGATATGTGTTTCAAATGTAGGCACTTGGGTGAAGCAGAAACTACCATTTTATTTTTCTGGGTAGTAAAACACACACACACACACACACAAATATGGCACACAGGCCTTGATGTTATAAAATGATGGTTAAACTTTGGAGACTTGAGTCATGTTCAAGTGTACAGTCCAGGTATGCAATCTATGATTATGAAAAGCACAGCCCTTCTTTACCAAGCATGACAAGGTCTTTGCCTAGTACAACCCATGACTGCTACAAAAAATATATACCATGCATTTATTTTAGAAAGAAGCACATTAAGAAGACGTCTTTAAATATAGAAAGTAGAAAATCTTATTTAAATTTGGGCAACCCTTTAGACCTTAGAATGTTTATAAAGGAGATTTTTTAAAAATGAAGTTTCAGAGGAAGGAAACATTGCAATTGACAGGTCAGGGCTCAGTGTATAAGACTAATTAAATAAAAAGCCATATATATATATTTTTCTCTCCTCTCTTCTTCACCAAGCTTCTCTCTTTCCTCCTTCTTTTCCTTTCATAAATGAGTCTTTTCTGCTCCTGGTTGTCAGTGCAGAAGACAGCATGTTCCAGAATATGCAGCTTTCCTTGTTTAATACAATGTTGATGGTTTCTTTCATTAAATTTTAGCATCCTTGTGAAAATCTGGCAAATACTATGATACATGCTATCTCCATTAAATGTATTAAAATAACATTCAATCAGGAAATTAGTTAAGTATTCTCTAAATAAATTATATTTGAGATGCTGCATATAAAATATGGTAATTGTGGGAGCAAATCAAATTATACATAATATTTTAATGTTCTGTTAGATGAAGTTGAATTGAGCAGAAAAAAAAACAACCTTTAGAGCCAGACAGATCTCAGTTTGATTTATGGCTCCAGATTCAGGGAAGTTATTTAGGCTTTCTGAATCCATTATTAAATTCTCATCCATTATCATTGTTTCTGAATGGGGCATAATTGGCATTTGAGGCAGGAGAATTCTTTGTTGCGTGAGGTATTTCTCAGCATTGCATGGCAGTTCCCACACCTATGTCCCTCCTTCTTCTAGCAATTAAATGCTAGCAGCATTCCCACCTCCAGTATTCCCACAACCAAATACCTGGACAAATTTGCAAATGCCCTGTAGGAAGGCGGTGACTCTCCTAGTTCACAGCAAGTGTATTAAATGGATTATAATAATACCTCTTCAAGTTGGAAGGCTTAAATGAGAACATTTTCCTGGCACTTTTGAGTAAACAAAAAGGTAGTTAAGAAAATGTGTTGAGGTCAGTCAGACCTGGGCTCTGTTCCAGCCCTGTCAATAGTGTCTCTGTGTAGCAAATTGCTTAATCTAAACCTGAGCATCTCATCTATAAAATTACAATAGGTGTAATACCTGACTCAGAGGATTATTTGAGGATTCAATGAAGTAACATATGCCAAGCTCTAAGCACTGATCCTGGTGCAGTCAGCTCTTAGTCAAGTTGGCTATAGTTGCTGCCTCATTATTAAGGCCAGACTCCTGAGACTGGGGAAAAGCAGGTAGCAAAGAAATATGATGCCTTGTTTGAGAAGTTTTACAAAAACAGGATATAAAAAGTAGTTGGAGAAAGTAGTCAGCTCCCCCCGGCAACAAGATAGTGGACTGCCATGTATGTTTGAAGGCAGAGGGAAAGTAGACACTGGCGAAACTGAGGCTGAGATCCAAGAAGATAGAAAGGTGACAATGTGAGATGTAATGAAGAAGTCAGGAGGCTTGGGCACACAGGGCGACAGGGCAGCCCTGGCATTCACTGTGGCTTTTCCAAGTATGAAGCTGTTTTTACACATTTGTAGAGTTAGCCCAATTTCATTGGGATTTTCACCTGCTCCACACTTTATTAGTGCCTCACACTAAAAGTGATGGCCAGCAACCAACCGAGCCGCTTTAATGTTATCAAACTCAAGAGAAAGGCATCTGGAACTGAGTGTTCTGGCTAAAAATAAGGAAGCCCAATCTAGTTTGAAATGAAGCAATCTTCTCCCTAAAAATTCTTCCTGGGGCTAGATCTTAGCCTCAGAGCCCTGAAATCTAATAGCAATTTAAGGAACACTTTTTCATTTTCTTCGAGTACATTTTCAATGATCTTTTTAACCCTCAGTTGTCCTTTCTTTTCTTCTAACTTCTATTAGCAGCATTAAAAAACCTTTTCTTTTCGGATTCATTCCAATGTCCTTTCAGTCTCTAATCTCACCTTCCTATGTCAAGAGGTATTTTGCAACACAATTATTTTCCTTCCTAAAAACTGCAGCTGTTCCCTCTACACTCTCTGTGAGGATCCAGAGATCACAGGAAAAACATGGTCTCTGGCTTTTGGGGGGTGGGACTTTGTGTCTTCTTGAGCATTTGGTCAGCCTTTTAAAATTTTTAATTAAGAAAATACAAAATCCATGAAATTAGAAAAATAGTAACATTGATTACAATGGTAATATTGCAGGCTGCATTTCAAAAATTAAAAAATTAAGGGGAAAAATCAAGTTTTAAAAATGATAGTCCTATTCTAAAGCTGCATAGGAAGCAACTGAAAAGTTAAAAATAGCAGAAAAATACTAACTCTTTAGGTAAAGGATCCTCTACAGGACATTACTCTTTGGAGATGTTCTATAAATCCAGGGGTTTATGATTCAGGAGACTCTTCTTACCCTGCCTTCACTTGGAGGTTCACAATGCAGATCCTGGGAGTCCAGAAGACAATAACTTACATGATTTATTTTATATCAGTCCCTTCCAAACCTATCTAAGGAACGGATGTGCTTTTTATGGAATGCCTATTAAAATCTCACAGAACAAATTAATATGTTGAAGAAACAGGATTTACATTTTGTTTTTGTTTTGGTGGTTGTTACTGTTTTTCATTTTCTTAAACTTCTAATGCATTGATGACTTAGATTTTTGTTAAATACAAAAATCATATATTTGGATGTCATGACAATAGCAAATTACTACAGAAGTTTCTAATCACTTTTCAATATCTAATCCATTGTAAACTAATTACACATAGTTTGCTGATGGGCACTGGTCCATGGACC